>NC_000001.11:243759879-243911394 GCF_000001405.40 Homo sapiens
GTAAGACAAAATTAGGACTCTGATAAGTCAATTGCCACATTAAGCTGAAATCACAAATGGCTGATCGTTAATGTCAATGGGGAACCAAAAAATAAACTAAATCTTGCACAGATCTGCACCCTAGATTCATGTCACCTGAGTGGACCAGGAAACTTTAGGCTTTAAACTTGGGTTAGGCTACTCCTAGATTGCTATCCAAGGCATCCAGCAGATATTAAATGAAGATAACTTTACTCAAGGCTTCATTTTGTCTTTTTAGAGACAGGGTCTCACTCTGTCGCCCAGACAGGAGTACGGTGGTGTGGCCTTTGCCCACTGCAGCCTCAACCTCCTGGGCTCAAGCATCCTCCTATCTCAGCCTCTCAAATAGCTGGGACTACAGGCATGTACCTCTATATCTGGCTTTTTTTTTTTTTTTTTTTTTTGTCATGGAGACAGGATATTGCTATGTTGCCCAGGCTAGTCTTGAACTCCTAGTCTCAAGTGATCCTCCAGCTTCAGCCTCCCAAAGTGCTGGGATTACCATGGGAGCCACCATGCCCAACCCAAGGCTTCATATTTCTACAAATAATTTTCAAATACTATGCCCAGCTAACATATTTAATCTTCATTATTCATGGATTCTGTATTTGCAAATTCACCTACTCACCTAAAATTATTTGTGATAAAAAATCTGGGTGCTTTAGGGGTCATTTGCAGGCATAGAGCAGCAAAAAAATTTGAATAAACTGATGCCCATGTTCTCACATGAGGCTGAACAAGGTGTCACTCAGCCTTCTTCCTTCAGCTCTCCTATTACAAACAATGTCCTTTTCACAGTATTTAGTGCCATGTTTTTCACATTTTTGTGCTTCCTGTTGGTGATTTCAGTTTAATGGCCCTCATGTATAGTGTTGAAGTCTCACCTAGTGTTTCTCAGCAAAAGAAGGCTATGATATGCCTTATGGAGAATAAATGTTTGTTTAAATAAGCTTCATTCAGGCATGAGTTATAGTGTTCATGGCCATGAGTTCAATGTTAATTAATAAATAATATTAAATAAGATGTCCTCAAACAGAAACACACATAAAACCAGGTTATGTAATTGATCAGCTGATGAAGACGTGACCAGAGACTTGCAAGAACCCAGCCCTGTATTTCACCTAGAGCAATGGGTCAGTATCTGTGGCCCCTTTATGTAACATAACTAACATGAATAATAACCAGCACAGCCAGTATTTATAACCAGCATCTAATAAGCCAAGACACCAGAGCAGGGACTTCAAATACTGAAAGTATCAGACACAGAGTGTAAATGAAACAACTACATTTACTCTATGTACAAGAAAACAGAAGCCAAACTTGAAATTTTCCTCAGTGAAATATAAAACTATACAAGAGACATGTCTAATTTGGAAGAGAAACAAATTTTGAGAACTGAAAAATACGATGTCCAAAAATAAAGACTCAATGGACAAGCTAAATATCATAATTTAGACAGAGGAATGCTTATCTTCAGTGAGTAAAAGAAAATAAACCCTGACCTAGAACTGTCTTACTCAGTAAAAACATCCTTTAAAAATATGGAAAAAATGAATGCATTTTCGCACAAATAAAAACTAAAAGACCATCAATGGATAAATGGATAAACAATATGTGGCATATACATACAATGGAACATTACTCAGTCTTAAAAAAAGAAATTTTGACACATGGTACAAAATGGGTGAACCCTAAAGACATTAAGCTAAATGAAATAGGCCAGTCACAAAGGGAAAAATATTGTATGATCCCACTCACATGAGTTACTTTACCCTTAACCATTTAAACACATTAAATGACAACTACAAGCAAAGCCCATAGCACCACGTTGGATATTTAATAAGAAGTAACTGTTAGCTGGGAAGAGATACTATTAACTTAATGATGTTAAATTTTTTAAGGAAAGATGAATGTACTTTAAAAAATATGTACACATTTTAAGAAATATAATAAGTATTTTCTTACTGAAGCAAAAAGGCACAGAATTTTGATTCCTTTATCCTGGAATCTCTCTTGTCTCAACGTTGCACTGTCACTAATCCAAACTGAGTACCTCATAAGAAATTGGGATGCTAGGACAATTTCTAAACGTCAAAATAACACATTTTGGTCAGGATACCTGGCAACTGTAAATGAATAAAAACATCTACAGTTACCCCCAAATTTCTGAAGAATACGTTTAATATCTTCTTAGGAATTCTGAGTGTCTAAGAATTTCTGGCATGTATTTAGTGACTAAATCATGTGAAATGGATACTTAAATTATGTTTATTAAAGTTATCTTTCATTCCTAGAGGGGAAAAATAATCATTTATTCTGTTTAGATTGCTGATCATCTGTTCCTAAATTTATGTCAACAGAAAATACTAAAAATCATAGACAATAAATTTGCTATGTAATATGTTTATTAAATACCCCCTTTGAAACTCCTTTGTAATAATTTGATCAAGCTAACACACATTTTTCAGAAGCAAGGTATTTCAGGAAGAAGAGATAAT
This sequence comes from Homo sapiens, assembly GCF_000001405.40. Lineage (NCBI taxonomy): Eukaryota > Metazoa > Chordata > Mammalia > Primates > Hominidae > Homo > Homo sapiens. The sequence continues at coordinate 243,762,399 of NC_000001.11, forward strand.
GTCAAAATTATCTTTTTTATCTGACTGATGTATAATCAATGATCCACCCTCTACAGATGGCTATGAAAGCATCCAAAAACTGTTTCTATGTGACAGAGCGCATCATGCTCCAAACGGACTGTTTTCCGTACTATTAATAAGACTATTAACATACTTTCTCTCAAACCCTTCGTTTCAATCATAAGTCCCACTTCAAGACTCATGAAATAATTTCATAAAATAAACAGGATATGTGAATGGTTAAAACATTGACCTAAGCACATCTGGCAACACAATTTATGCATGGCAAGGTAAAGATCATTGACACTGTATTTAAAATGTAAATCTTCTAATCTCCCAAAATCATGTACTCACTGTTCCAGAAACATTTCTAGAACGAACCAGAGCTTTCAGGATTAGGGCCAAGTATATTATAGTGAATTTTAATGTTGGCTTATGGATCTGATATCTGTCATTTACTTACTTTATGACATAAAGACAGACTTATCTGAGTAGAAAATATTTTAACAACTTATGAAAGCAAAAAATTGATATTTCTAAGTATAATTACTCAACTATGAAATCAAATATCAAATTTTTCTACTGAATGAAAAATTATCCCCTCATTCTCCATTAAGTATTGCCTACTAGCTATACAAAATTGTACGGCTTATTACTCTAATAAAGAAAAACAATATAAAGTTTATTTTACTACTGTTAACTAATAAACTAAAACCAATTTCTAAATCATCATTTTATTCTACTGAAATTCGCATACATTTTTAAAAAGTGAATAAACAGCCTACTCAGTAGAATTTTTGTTTCTCAAGATTCTAATAAGAACTTAGAACAATTTTATCAATTAAAAATGATATAAACTTTACAGCCTCAGAATACATCACACTAAAGTAATTTTCCAATTGGTAAGCTATATTTCAGAGAATCCTGCTGTCTTTAAAATCCTATCATAACTATGTAATAATACAAACTTTATCAATTATATTCAATGAATGAGAAGCTAGTGCTTTACTGTGAATCACTTGGAAGTTCACCTTAATATTTACTTTAGGCTTGAGCTCAAAACCCATTCAGGACAAAAGACTCTACCAGCCCTTCATGGATATCTGTTTATCACTACTGGCTTAAAAGCATGCCAACTGATTGGGGAAAATTTTGCAACAGATTTAAAATAAGGAAGGAGTCACAGAGCAGATGTACACATCAAAATTCTATAGCATACTCAAATTTAAATGAAAACGATTAGAACAATGTCAAAAAAGTTTAGTAAATAAATTTGGGATGTTTGTGTACTTATCAGAACCTCATAACTGCATATAATTTTGTAAGTATATTCAAAATTACAGTTATTACTGACCAGTGTCTTTGAGTAAAAAGCAAAAGAAAGTTATTTGCTTACTAATTTTAGAATTTAAATATCATATTTCCTTTAAGGTTTAAAACTCCTTTTCTGTTTATTTCCATTTCAGACACGAATAGTACTTTTGCTTTAATTTCAAAAGACTTGTAAATGGACAGTCTTCACTTTTTCATCAATCTAATCAGCAGAATACTGAGACTACGAAGTTAACATGAACACCCTCCAGTGGCTGGCTCTGCAGCACAACAGAAACATTTTTACCCTGAACTCGGATTTCACTGCCGATATTTCTGAATGACAGAAAATTTGGGGCTTATACAACAGATTACAATCATATAAATTTTGGTAAAATTCCAAACTTTAAAAATAAAAACATCTAAGTCGCTACTTTATGCCTCTATTTGCAAAATTCTCATGTCAAAATTTTCTCTACCAAGGTGTTAAGATACTATTTTAATAACAGATATAAAAATAATTTTAATTCCCTTTTAATCTGTTGTCATTTGTCATTATTAATATTCAGAAACTGAAATAAAACTCTATAAAGTAAAAGGGGCTGGAAGAAAATTAGTCAAAATGCAAATAATGAATCCTTATGGGAAAAAAATACATTTGTGCCGTGTATCAAAAGTAACATTTTTTAAGTACTCATTCAATAGTAATCTCAGTGAAACACTGTGTACTGAGAGTACAATTCCCTATACATTTGATTTAATCTTAAAAGTATAATACACAAATACGTTGGTAGGAAATAGCTGTATTTTTAAGAAAACTTTCACTAAAATTTATTTCAGTTTCAAAGAGAAGTACCATATTCCTATTAACATTTTAAATATAAATTGTTAAAATCCCGAGTACTGACCTCTATTACAGAAAACAAAATTGGTTTAAAAATACACAGTAACAAAGAATGGTAATAAAATAAATAAAACCAAAAAAGTCTATATTTAACTGGCTGCTCAGTCATTAGAAAGGTGCCCCATAACTACCATATGTTACTCAAATATGTTATCACACCTACAATCTCATCATATGTCTCCCAAGAAATTAATTAGCTCTAACTTTTTCAACTTTGACAAAAACGTCTGCATCAGTCAGATTACTAGCTGTTGCAAACATTTCAAAATTCAAAGCTTTCTCCAGCTTGTATTTAACCTTTTAATTACTATTAATCATTTAGCAACATTTAGAACAGCATTCATTAGACAGATGTCTAATTCTAGAATTCTGAATAATGTAAATTCATTTATACATATATTTACTTTTGGTGCATATTTATTGATGTTAAAAAATAATCCAAAACCACTTATTGATACATCATTTCACGGCTGTGTTTAGGGTAAAGAGAAAAATACCTAAAAGTTTTACTTATTCTAAAAATCTAAAAAGTCCTAAGTATTTGAGATTATATGGCTTACAGTAATACATTTAATGTGTATAAAACTTATTTAAATTTTAAAAAGAAACAAGAGGACTTGTTAATTTTAAAAGCCTTTATAAGTTACCAGCAGTAAAAAGAAATAGAAGTGACTAAGAAGAGAATTTTCATAAATATCTTCCTTACCACCAAACTTTCAAAAGGAAAAGAAAAAAAAATACTACTATTACTGTTTGATTTTGAACCGCAAACCCAGGCAACCCTCAACCATGTAAACCAGCTTCCATCTCCACCACTTTATTTAAACTACCCTGGTAAGGCTACCAATGACTTCCTAAGTATTCATTTCACAAATATTTATTGAGCGAAGAACAAAAATCCCTTCTTATAGAGTTTACATTCTAGCGGGATTGAAAGAGAAAATTAACAGGATAAATAAGTTATATGATGTATTATTAGTAGGAAGTGCTAATGTCTCCTGATTCCCTTGTTAACCAAACAAAAATTAAACAATAAAGTTTGAACTGGCTTCAGTAAAGTCACAGAAAACATTACTAAATTCTCCTTTCAATTATCTCTGCTAACAAAATAATGGATAATCTAAAAATAATCTCTATTTAGTAAGAAATTAGATTTAAGTTACAAAGTTACTCCTCAGGCCGAAGTAAACGTTCAAGTTAATCAGAATGAGGGCAGCCTCAGGAACAGCCAAAAATACCCTGCTGGCAGCTGTCTTCTCTTTGCAGCTACCAAGGTTTTTACCTACTGCCACAGAAAAGGGCACCTGTGAATTATACAATTTTTTGGCTGAAAAGAACCTTAAAGATATCAGGTGTCCTCTACAAAGCTTTTCTTGGCCTGTCCAAAGAGGTTTAAGCATTTCTTCCTCTTTATTTCCAAATTCCATAAAATGCAGGAATTATGTCTTTATTTGTGCCTGTATTCTCAAAACTTATTGTAAGTCTGGCACAGAGTAAGTTTGAGTGAACTTTTAAAAACACTATTTTAGAAAATCAGTCTGGTAGCAAATAGAGCAAAGGCTTAAGGTTTGTAATCACTGTTAAATAATTTGTATTACATATATGTGCACTGCTCTCAACTGGTGAGGAGGGGCATCCATTCATATTCAATAAACATTTACTAAGGCCCTACTGTGTGTAAGACTACCATTACAGAGGGTATCCCAGGGGGAGAAAGAAAATAAAAAAGAAAATTAATAATAATTTTAAATTGCAATTAGTCCTATGATGGAAATGTACAGGGTACTTTAATAGAGAATCTACTGTCTTCATTGGCTTCACAAAGAATTAAGATTACTTTATACACAATGTTCTGCCAGGGAAAGGCAAGACCTTAGGTAGATATTGCAGTAATACAGGTAAAGAGATTAGGAGTTCAATTAACATTTAACAAACATTACAATGTCTCATGTTCTATGGCACAAACATAAACAACCCCCAATCTCCAATCTCAGCCACTCAAGAGCTTGAATTCAAATGAGGAAAAGACACATAAAATATTATCTTGATTGTGGAGAACACATAGACTTTATGGAATCACAGAGATGAACATTTAGGCAACTAGAGTAGTGAAGAAAAGTTTCCTAGAAGAAGAAAATGCCTAGAATAGGCAATAAATGAAAACATAAATAGCATGTATTTTGAAGGAATAATTAACAGTAGAAGATAATAGCACGTGCACAGGGGACTGAAGTAGGTAGAAGATATGAATGTTTCTAGTCTGGTGATTTGTCAGTAGAGGAAAGCTGAAAGGAAATTGATATTAATGAAAAAGAAGATAATCTCAGTTTTTAAAAATCTGAACTTATGATGACAATGGCATACCCATGGGGAAGTTTTTTTCAACTACAACACTAAAGAGAAGTTCTTTGATTTGTTATTTTAATAAGTACCTGGAATTCACTGATACACAAAGAAGATTTGTAGCCATGACAGCAGAAGAGCTAAGAATTTGCAGAGGGCAGAAAAGGCTCAAGAACAGAGTAAGGATGGGTTATAGTCACATTATGTAGGTATCAAAAGAAAGTATGTCAGTAAAAGAGCACAGTCCAATGCAGCAATGAAACAGGAAAGCCAAACATCAGGGAAGCCATGGGAGATGAATGTTTCAATGAGGAGGGGGCAATCAATAAATTAAATGATAGACACACCCAGAAGGCATAACAGAGTTAAGGCCATTGGTTATGATAAAAGGAGATAATCAGTGGCTATAGAGAAGAGTTTTATCATGCCTATGGTTTCGTTGATCATAATTAATCACAAAGATGAGCATAGACTAATATATGAACCACATTCTCATAACCTCAATTTTATTATTTTTATAAACATACCTAATATTTATTAGAATGGATATATAAGCAAATAAAAAACTATATAGAGTATTTCCACTAATAGATAACTTTTTAATTAATACTTCACAAGAAAGAAGTATTTTCAAGTTAAAAAAATACCCAATAGTATATATTTTTTGAAAGATTTGTCATTTAGAGATAAAAAATTTACATATGATACAGTATCTGAGATTTGCTTCAAAATAACCCAGTGGGTAAAGGAGTAAGTGGATATATAGATAAAATAAGATTGGTCATGAGTTGAAAATTTTTGAAGCTGGTGATGATTACATGGGTGCTGATTATACTTGCCTCTACTTTGGTATAAGTCTGAATTTTTTTCTTAATGTCTTATTGCCTACCAGGAAACAGAAATATTTTAATTTTCCCTAATTATATTTACTATTTGCTTACAGGGTTCTGAAACTAATCTCAAACTGTCAAAAGTAATGAAAACGGTAAAATTTCCATAGGATCAAAGCTTAGAAAATTGCCTTATAAAATATATAGAGAGGGGGAAAAAAATAAAGCATAAACAAACTCTAGAATTTAGTTCTGGCTTCAAGAATATTTAAAATTATAAAATGCCATAAACTATAATTTAAAAATATTTAGAATCAAAAAATAAAAAATAAATGCCCTGTTTTCCCCAGAAGCTAGGAGATATACATACATATATATAATATATATATTTTATAACAAATATTATATTGCTATGGTTCTCCATGGATAATTACATTACTTAAGGCAAAAAGTCTTTGACAAAATCTTACATAGTGACACAAGTAGGAGCTTATACCTGTTACAGCTAAAATTGGCTTTCAGCTGTTAATTTTAACTGATATATTCTTACATGTTTCCTCATTTCCATTGCTAACAGTTTTTTCACATGAGTAACTCCAATTCATTTTTCAGGTCTCTGTTGAAATATTACTTATTTCAGGAGTTTGCTGTCAACTTCACACAGTAGGTCAAAATGTCATTCTGTATACTCCTACAGAACCCTTCTCTATCCCTATCAAAAACAGTTCATTTTAGTTAGGTGCCACAACTTTTAAAAAACTGAGATATAGGCCGGGCGTGGTGGCTCACGCCTGTAATCCCAGCACTTTGGGAGGCAGAGGTGGGCAGATCACAGGTCAGGAGTTCGATACTAACCTGACCAACATGGTGAAACTCCATCTCTACTAAAAATACAAAAATGAGCTGGGTGTAGAGGCATGCGCCTGTAATCCCACCTACTCAGGAGGCTGAGGCAGGAGAATCACTTGAACCGAGGAGGCAGAGGTTGCAGTGAGCAAAGATCACGCCTGTGTACTCCAGTCCGGGCAAGACAGTGATCCGCCACAAAAAAAAAAAAAAAAAGAGAGCGATAGTTCACATACCATAAAAATCGCCATTTTAAAGTATACAAGCCATAGTTTTTATTACATTCACAAGGCAGTGCAACTACCACTACTAATTCCAGAACTTTTCATCGCCCCAAATATAAATCCAGAACTCATTAGCAGTCATTCTCCATTCCCTCATCCCCTCATCTCCTGACCATGAAACCACTTTCTGTCCCTAAGGATTTTCCTATTTTGGATATTTCATATTAATGAATCATACAATATGTAGCCTTTTGTGTGTAGTTTTTTTCACTTAGCCGAGCTTTTCAAGGTTATTTCATTTCTTTTCTGTCTGAATAATGCTCCATTTTATGAATAATCATAATTTGCTTATCCACTCTACAGTTGATTGGACATTTGTGGTTTGGGAGGCAATTACGAATACTACTACTACAAACATTCACATACAAGTTTTGTACAACCATATGACTTTGATGCCTTTAGAAATACACCCAGGTGTAGACTGCTGAGACCTACAACTCTATGTTTTAAGTTTTTGAGGAACTGCTGTTTTCCAAAGCAGCTGTACCATTTTACAAACCTACCAGCAGCGTATGGGGATTCCAATTTCTCCATATCCTCACCAACACTGTTTATCATTGTTTACAGACATCCTAATAGGTGAGTTGATATCTCACATGATTTTAATTTGCACTTCTCTGATGGCTAATGACGTTGAGCATCTTTTCATGTATTATTGGCCATTTGATTATCTTCTTTGGAGAAAATATTCATATTGTCTATTCAGATTTCTTAATTGGGTTGTCTTTTCATTGTTGAGATATAAGAATTTTTAATATATTCTGGATACTAGGCCCTTATCAGATTCATGATTTACAAATATTTTCTCCCATACTCTATTCTTTTCACTTTCTTAAAAATTGTTGTTTCCTGAAGACCTTCTCACTTTCTTGACAGCGGCCTTTGACATACAAGTTTTTTATTTTGATGAAGTATACTTTCTTTTTCATTGACTGCTTGTGCTTTTGGTGTCAAATGTAATAAACCATTGCCCAATCCAAAATTACAAAGATTCACCCCTATGTTTTCTTCTAAGAGTTTTAGTTCTTATAATTTAGGTGTTTAATACACATTGCATTAATTTTTACACATGGTGTGAGGTAAGGAGTCCAAATTCATTCTTTTATATGTGGAAATCGGGTTGTCCCATCATCATTTCTTGAAGACTATTCTTCCACACTGAATCGCCTTGCCATCCTTGTTGAATACCAATTAGCCATATATGTATGGTTTAAATTCCGGATTCTCAATTATATTCCATTGATCTACTTCTCTCCTCTATGTCTCTTTTTGACTGCACCTAGCACAGTGCCTGAAGGTGAGAAGCACTCAATAAAGATTTGTGAGTTGAACAGCCAACTCCATCAATAGTAAAATGATAGAATTTCTGGGGTAGGAAAAGCCTTAGAGGGCATTATCCTATCCCATTATTTAATAAACAGGAAAACTGAAACCTAAGAGAGGTTAACTGACTAACTCAAAGAGAACAAATTAATCATAGGTCAAGGTAGGACCTGAATTTCAGTCTCCTAATTCCAATCCAGAGCTCTTGCCATAGTATCATACTTTTTTTCAAGTAAAACTAATTGCTTTAACATCCACCAATGTGCCTGTCTGGGAGAAGCTGCATGTATATGAGAAGACAGAGATAGGCATGTATATGTAAGCTCAATCAGAGTGGAATCCTTTGTATCACCAAAAAGCCTTACAACCAAAATGTGCCAGAAAATAGTATACCACAGAATACAATGTTCCTTTCCAGACAGCTGTTTCTTAACTTCATTTTGTGTTTGAGAGATACCTAGTCACACTTTTAAGCCTGGAGATTATTCTAAATAGAAAAAAAAAAAAAACATTTTTGGGACAGCAAAAATGATCAAATATTCAGGGACCTAGTTCCATTACTCTGTTCTCTTCTACATTTCCCACCACCGTTGTCATTCTTCATTCATTACTGTTTTAAAGACTGTAGAAACAGAGTCTGCCTGCTTCCAAAAGCCAGAGAAATTTAAAAGCTGGAGAGCAGAGAACTAAAGGGAAACAACTGAGAAGCTCTGAGAGAAGTCTTCTAAAAAGATATATGGGGGGAGGAGAATCCACATGATAATGCATGATTTCAGGGAAAAAGGAAGAGGCTAGATGTTCAAGCTAAATACTGCATTCATATGTACATGTGAGGGAAATGCTGTTTGTGCAAATGTTGTATATGTAAAATGTATAAGCAGACCACGAATGTTCTTGTAGTCAAAATATTTAAGCCTCAGTTGAAACTACAACCTCTTCTCTGAATCTTTCCCAGAGTCCCTCAAATGCAGTTAACTATTCCTTTCCTATTGCTCCCACTCTTCCTACTACACACCTCCATTACTATGATTATTAGAGTGTATTCTATTAATTACATCATGTTTGCCTCCCTCCTAAACTACCTTCTCATTGAGGGCACAGACCATGTGTTTTCCATGTTCTATTCTGTGCAGAACCTAACATAGCCCTGGCACATGTAAGTACTTTGTAACTCTTTGTTGAATGGATATTTTAAGACTGCTTATAATACTGAATACATCTATTCTAAAGTGTTGATAACAAGAAATTTGTTAATTCTTGCTGTAATAATTCCAAACATTATTCACACATAACTTGCCAATACTTACTTGCTCTAAGTACAAACTTCAGAGTTAGCTATCTGCAAAAAACAAAACAAAACAAAAACCTAACAATATATTTAGAACTGAATATTGTAGTTGTCAGTCATCTCTGCTAACAAGGCATTTCTATATACTCTTAGCTAAAAATACCACAAAAGGTTCAAGTAAGACTAATCAATGACAAGCAGAATGGTCTCATGTGGTGATTCAAAAAGAAACTGGATGCCATGCTACCTGACTTCAAACTATACTACAAGGCTATAGTAACCAAAACAGCATGGTACTGGTACCAAAACAGAGATACAGACCAATGGAACAGAACAGAGCCCTCAGAAATAATACCACACATCTACAACCATCTGATCTTTGACAAACCTGACAAAAACAAGAAATGGGGAAAGGATTCCCTATTTAACAAATGGTGCTGGGAAAACTAGCTAGCCATATGTAGAAAGCTGAAACTGGATCCATTCCTTACAACTCATACAAAAATTAATTCAAGATGGATTAAAGACTTAAATGTTAGACCTAAAACCATAAAAACCCTAGAAGAAAACCTGGGCAATACCATTCAGGACATAGGCATAGGCAAAGACTTCATGTCTAAAACACCAAAAGCAATGGCAACAAAAGCCAAAATTGACAAATGGGATCTAATTAAACTAAAGAGCTTCTGCACAGCAAAAGAAACTACCATCAGAGTGAACAGGCAACCTACAGAATGGGAGAAAATTTTTGCAATCTACTCATCTGACAAAGGGCTAATATCCAGAATCTACAAAGAACTCAAACAAATTTACAAGAAAAAAACAACCCCATCAAAAAAACAGGCAAAGGATATGAACAGACACTTCTCAAAAGAAGACAGTTACGCAGCCAAAAGACATATGAAAAAATGCTCTTCATCACTGGCCATCAGAGAACTGCAAATCAAAACCACAATGAGATATCATCTCACATCAGTTAGAATGGCGATCATTAAAAAGTCAGGAAACAACAGGTGCTGGAGAGGATGTGGAGAAACAGGAACACTTTTACACTGTTGGTGGCACTGTAAACTGGTTCAACCATTGTGGAAGACAGTGTGGCGATTCCTCAGAGATCTAGAACTAGAAATACCATTTGACCCAGCCATCCCATTACTGGGTATATCCCCAAAGGAATATAAATCATGCTGCTATAAAGACACATGCACACATATGTTTATTGAGGCACTACTCACAATAGCAAAGACTTGGAACCAATCCAAATGTCCAACAATGACAGACTGGATTAAGAAAATGTGGCACATATACACCATGGAATACTATGCAGCCATAAAAAAGGATGAGTTCATGTCCTTTGTAGGGACATGGATGAAGCTGGAAACCATCATTCTCAGCAAACTATCACCAGGACAGAAAACCAAACACCGCATGTTCTCACTCATAGGTGGGAAATGAACAATGAGAACACTTGGACACAGGAAGGGGAACATCACACACCAGGGGCTGTTGTGGGGTGGGGGGAGGGGGGAGGGATAGCATTAGGAGATATATCTAATGTAAATGGCGAGTTAATGGGTGCAGCACACCAACATGGCACATGTATACATATGTAACAAACCTGCACGTTGTGCACATGTACCCTAGAACTTAAAGTATAATAAAAACATATATATATAAAAAATATATATATATATATATAAAACAAAAAGAAACTGAAGAATCATCTCTTTAGAGACATGTAAAGGAATTCTGGAGGGTAATTAAAGATATTGTCATGTTCACCGAGTATGAGTAAAACAGAAGAGTAAAATGACTATGAAATACTGGCTTGGTGGTAAAAGTAGACGCTTTGAAATCTGAAATCCTGATTTTAATGATTTACCTCCACTGTGACCTCTTTAGGAAGGTCACTTCATCTTTCTATGCCTCTTTCAGTTTATCTCTTATAAAACTTGAATAAGCTGTAGTCCCAGCTACTGGGGAGGGAGAGGTGGGAAGATAGCTTGAGCCCAGGAGTTCCAGGCTGCAGTGAGCCATGACCACACCTGTGAATAGTGACTGTGCCCCAGCCTGGGCAACACAGTGAGACCCCATCGCCCCCCACAAAAAAAAGTTTTATAAAATGAGAATAAGAATGTCATACTCACAAGCTCATTGTGAGAATCAAATTATACTGTGTATGACCTAGCACAGACACCCAGACACTAGCATATAAGCATTTAACAATGTTAATTTCCTTCCCAACTGACAACAGGTTGTAAATTAAGGAGCAGACTCAAAAAGTTCTCTTCTCTATAAATATCTCCCCTAACAGACGTCAATGTTTGAATTTTACCATAAGAAAATTCTGTTTGGACTTTCAAGAGTCCCAATTAAATGTGAAACAATCCATCAATACTCTAGTGTGTTTATTCATCATTTTTAAGATAACTTAACAAAGCCTACAGGTCTTGGAGATCTCTTTTGAACAGAGTGAACAGAGAAGGATCTATGGATGGTGACCATTACATGAGGAGTGTGAAAGAGCAAGAAAAAAAAGGTCACAAAAGGGTCCTAGAGACAAACTTTTCCTACTTTGTAGTATTTCTTACTATTAGTCCCATCTAACAGAATAAGCTCTACATAAATTCATTGAAAATTCATAAATTCATTAGTAAACCAGTATATCAATTTAAGTTTATTTTTTACACTGTGAAATATAAACACCTGCCATAGTTCTACATACTACAAACTTTTCCCTTTTCCACATAGTTCCACATTTGCAGGCTCCACTCCTTTCACAAGAATTTTTCCTGTGTTTATACCATTGCTACAATACTGCTTTGTGTATAAAATCACAGCTTTGAGTTAATGTCTATAAAATTGATCTTGGGCACAGATCATTTTTCTTGTGAAAAGGTTTGTCACCTGATGGTTATTTTATGTTCATGTTAATCAGAGACTGTCTCTCTATAATTGTTTGTATTTTTTCTCTCAAGTTTGATTTCTGTGGTTCCAGAAGCATACCTGCCTTCTTATCACAAGTAAAATAGTATTTATTAAGAGTTGAAATTTTTGTTGTTTAAAAAAAAGAAAAGCCCCAAACCACAATTTAAGGATATCTTTTTAACCACTACAGCCAAAGAAAAGATCTACTTAGGATATACTATTTGCTCTATGCTTTCCCAAACTGTCAACTGCATGTATTTTGGTAACATCCTAGTACATACAGATGGCATGATAGCTCTGCCATATAAATTATTAATAAAATTCACATAAGGAAAAAACTCAAAACCATTACATTGTATTTACAGATTTCACCAAGACAATGTAATGTCCAAATTTCACATTGTATTCCAATTATTATTATTATTGAGACAGGGTCTTGCTCTGTCACCCAGGCTGGAATGCATTGGTGCAAATATGGCTTTCTGCAGCCTCGACCTCCCAGGCTCAATGGATCCTCCCACCTCAGCCACCTGAGTAGCTAGGACTACAGGTGTGTGCCACCACGCCTAGCTAATTTTTGTATTTTTTGTAAAGACGAGGTTTCGTCATGTTCCCCAGTATGGTCTCACACTTCTGAACTCAAGCAATCCTCCTGCCTCAAATTCCCAGAGTGTTGGCATTACAGGCGTGAGCTACCGCACCCGTCCTTGTTCCTATTATTTGTTTGTTTGTTTGTTTGTTTTGAGACAGAGTCTCACACTGTCTCCTGGGCTGGAATGCAATGGCTCAATCTCGGCTCACTGCAAGCTCTGCCTCCTGGGTTCACACCATGCTCCTGCCTCAGCCACCCAAGTAGCTGGGACTACAGGCACCTGCCACCACGCCCAGCTAATTTTTTGTATTTTTAGTAGAGATGGGGTTTTACCTTATTAGCCAGGATGGTCTCAATCTCCTGACCTTGTGATCTGCCCACCTCGGCCTCCCAAAGGGCTGGGATTACGGGCATGAGCCACTGCGCCCGGCCAGTTCTAACCCAAATTCTAAGTCACTCACCCACCGGCCATCTTATGAATCCTGTGTCTCCTCCCCACCTGTGGGATCCACCAAAGAGGACTCCATAAAGCAAATGTGGAGACAATGACTACCAAAAACGAAAGAATAGGAATTCTTAACAGCTCCAGAAAGGCTAACAAAATCAGTCCTGGACTCATTAACTTAGAGAAGAAAAAGTCTAAATCCAAAGGCTAGAGAACAGAAACTGATTATACTCTAATTTTAAAATACCAAAATATATTTAAGATCCATAATGTTTAATACAGAACTTTACAAAATCCAGCAAAATAAATTTAGTATTATTTATAGACATAAAAATGGTACTTCTGCTTTCCCAGGCTCACTGAAAAACCCGATCTATCAATTAAATCAGAGAAAAGAAAATAAAAAATAAAGATTTGAATAAAAACAAATTAAAGGACTGCATTTTAAAGGCCACATAGATATAAAGAACACTAAAGCATCTCTTTTCTTCTATTTACAGCATACTGAGGATTCATCCATAAACCTGAGGTTGACAACCATCTTCTTCTCTACTGATACAGTGAAGGAAGCATCTCTCCACAGCATGCCTACAACTGTCTCTTTCTTCCTACATTGCCCTTCTTAATGAATGTTATCACATACTTTCCATCAATGAAGAGCAAAATCACCAAATTAGTTCTAATTTTTCTCCACTAGCCCATATGCGAAATTTTAGGCCAAGTCAAAATGATGATGATGATGACAGGTTAAATAAGACATTTTTTATGTTAGAGGCACACTGCTGCATGCTTTCCATAAATTAATTAATCCTGCTTGTCTCCACTAAAGACTGTAACAAAATCCGTATGTTGAAACGCTAACCCCCTAGTGTGATATTTGAAATGAGGCCTTTGGGAAAAGATTAGAGTTAGATGAAGTTCAGGAGGGTGGGGCCCTCACCCTCATAAGAGTAGTGCCCTTATCAGAAGAGACCCAAAAGAGCTTGCTCACTCTCCATTATGTGAGGCACAGCAAGAAGCCAGAAAGAGAGCCCTCACCAGAACCCCATCATGCTGGCACCTTATCTCAAACATCCAGCCTCCAGAACTGTGAGAAAACACCTAGACTATGAAATTTTGTTATGGCAGCTTGAACAGACTAATTCAGATGGAAACTATTATTTCCCCCATTTTACAGAAGAAAAAATTATAGCTTACACAGACTAAATAACCTCCCTACAGTGGATCCAAGAGATAGTGATAGGGCCAGAATTTAAACTCAACTTTTAACCAGTACTGTTCCGCTGATGTCTCTGATATGTCTGAGTGCCTAAATGTATCATGAGTTGTGCTAAGTGCAATAAAAAAAGATAAGGTGCCCTTAAGGAATTCGTATATCTAATAATAATCAAGTAGTATAGTCAAACACATGAACTGACAAAGAATGACTTCCTTGAGGTCTGGCACCTAAGAAATGTTTGGTGAAATAAACAGAAAACCATCAGACAGTAATACAATGTAATAAGTGTTACCCGAGTGGGTTAAATAAAGTAAAACAAGGGTTTCCAGGAGGAAGCAATTGTGGTTGTGATTAAGGCAAACACTTTAACAGCAGTCCTCAACCTTTTTGGCACCAGGGACCGGCTTCATGGAAGACAATTTTTCCATGGGATTGGGGGGAGACGGGGGCGGTGGGGAGTGAAGATGGTTTGGGGATGATGCAAGTGCATTACATTTATCATTAAATTCTCATAAGGAGAGTGCAACCTAGATCTGTCACGTGCACAGTTCACAATAGGGTTTGCATCCCTATGAGAATCTAACACCACAGCTAATCTGACAAGAGGTGGAGCTCAGGTGGTAATGCACACCTCCTGCCGTGTGGCCTGGCAGGGGGCAGTCCTAACAGGCCATGGACTGGTACTGGTCCACAGCATGGGTGTTGGGGACCCCTGCACTGTAAAACAGGTAGGGTATGAGAAAAATTGTAACAGAAATAAATACAATGCAGTCAAAACAGGATACAGTTATTAATAACATTTGGAAGGAATTTATCAGGGATCACTAGTGGAAGTAACATATAAGTTGTCTTTCTTATGACAACTTGAGATGAATAGAATCACACTGCTTGAATGAGACATAATTCTAGGTTGAAGGGACTATCTGGTCAAAAACATGGGATTTGGAAATGTGGCTGGCTGTTCCTTTTTTGATCCCATATTCAACACTGTACTTTATAATATAAAATATATTAACAGGTGCCCCATCTCTCATCTTTTTTGGAAGACATTACACAAAGCATAAAATCATCCTGAAAGTACAGATACTGATTCCTCGTTCAAAAGCATTAAAGAATCCTACTTCACCCACAAGATAATATTCAAATTCAAATTCCTTAGACTGGAATGTTAGACCTCTCACAATCTGTCCCTGTTTTTCCTTTTCTCCCTGACTCACCTTGAGGCATGTATCCTTTATACTGAAGCTACCCCTACATTATCTGGGGCTCCTAAATAGGCCCTGTTAGAATGTTTCCATCTGGACTCTGGGACCATCTTTAAGATTCATTTCAAAGACTGGCTTCCTTTAAAAGTATGACCTTGCCTATTACCTCACTTAGTACACTCTCTCTTATGTTAGTTGCATTCCTGCATGTCTCCATTAAAGACTATAAGCTGTTTGAGGCAGGGCAACTACCCTGCAGAAAAAGACATCAAATAACATACATTAATGCTTTTCTACTGGGAATACAGTGAAAAAAATACACTAAAGCAAATCTTTGGTTATCTGTGTCTAAGTACAATAAAAAAGCTAATGATTACAATGCAATATAAGAGCAATAATAGACAATTATACAGAGTATTATGACTGAATCACTCAACTAAGCCTTGCAAAGGTTGAGGCCAGCTTCCCAGAGAAGATGACACAAACTGATTCTTAAAAGATATGAAGAAGATACAGGTAAAGCATACACAAATATAAAACAGTACCACATGTGGAGAACTACTACCAGAAATTCAGTGTCACTAGAATGTAAAGGATGAAGCTGGAAGTTGCAGAGTATCATCCTATAGAGACAGACAAAAGGCTTTCCATACTGTGTTAAGAATACTGTGCTGTAGGCCAATGGTTTAGAGGTACAAAGTATAAGTGTGTGCTGTGTCAAAACTAGGTTTAAGTTATACTGGAAATCATTTTTTAAAACTGAATTAAACAGATTGTACATGTGTATGTCAAAAATCAAACGTTAAAAAGGTATACAGTAAAAAGTCTCATCACACCCATCCATCTGCCTGTTTAACCCTGCTTTCTGGATAAAATATTAGTTGTTTTTCATTCCAGAGTTTATGACAATATAAGCAAATACAACTATAACATCTTATCTCCTCTCCTTTACATAAATTGAGGTTTTTCCATGATTTTCCATATAAATACTATTCTTCCGATTCTTTTTTTTTTCTTGTCACTGAATGGACCTCATCCTACCATTCTTTTTCGACTATGTAATATTCCATTGTATTGCTGTACCATGATTTACTTAGCCAATTTCCTATTAATGGACATTTGGGCTTTTCCCTACTCTGATGCTGTATGTTGTCTTGGCATATATGAAGAAAATCCAGCCTCATGCAGATATGAATAGAAAAAGGGAGAAAAATGTTAACAAACTTTTTGGATTACTGTTGATACTATTCAAATCGTTTGCTGTTACACACAATAGTTGTAGGAATCACCTTGTATATATCACATAACAAACATTCCTAAGTTTACCTATAGGATCCACTTCCAGAAACGAGAAGATACATTTGTAAGTTTGATATATATTGTCAAACCGTCTCTAAAGTTTGTAGGGACTCCTACAGTGTAGATTCTCCTCCAGCAATACCTGAGCAGTGACAATGCCTGGTTTTCCAGAGCAAAAAGAGAATCCTAGGGAACTCTACCCTTTAAAAATCTCATCCAGGAAGAATTCAAAAGAAGAATGAGAAGAACATTCAAACAGATCAAAAAGAAACAGGAGATCATAAGGTTCCAGGGGACAAGCAAGAGTGGTTTCTCACTAGTGTCAAATACACAGAAATATTTAATAAGATAAATAATTAACCAAAATACAAAACCTAAATGATTAAAACAGTACGGTATTCATGCAAAAATAGAATGGATCAGGACAGGATAAGGAAAAGAAAAATACTGCATGAAGAACAAAGGTAAATAAAAGAATTAAAAATAAAGGAAAGTTAATACTATTTTCCACTAAGAAGAACCAGAGCTCCCTAGAGAGCTGCTTCTAGAGGTAGGAAAGTATATGACGAGACTGGAATATCTTGTTGTCCCAGCAAGTCCTCAAAAATTGATGGAGACATGTCAAAAGAATTTAAAAGCCGGCCTGAAAGTGCTTTCATGGGCCCAATCTAGAATCATTTAAGCATTTCAAAATAAATGATGATAGTAAAAGATTATAACCCATTGAGTAAGACAGAATTCACGAGGGAGAAAGAAATTTCCTCCTTATAGTAAAAAGCCAACTAAAATGAAAAAGGAATGTCAGAATTAGAAAACTACCATAAATCATTAATAATGTATTCAAGTAAGAACCCTAAATGGATGCCAAAATTGGTGGGCCAAAGTTTGAGGAGCAACCAGATATTCACATAATCTCAAAGAATCATACGACAAGATTCCTATTAATTATAAAGAAGGAAAAATAACTTTATAATGAAGAAGAAAGTTGGTAAACACTACTGTAACCAGGTGATCAAAATTAACATTACTAGGACTAGGACAAATCAATATGATGTGCCTCCTGATTAAAGATTATTAGAAAGACATGGCAATTGAATTCAACATATGATTCAAGATTATTTTTTGTAGAATGAGAGCTATAAAGGCAATTATTGGCAATATCTGCATAACCATATTATATCAATGTTAATTTCTTGATTTTGGTAACTATAATTATGTAGGATACCACTTTTGTTTCAGGAAACATGCACTTAAGTATATAAGACTAAAGGAGGCATCATGTCTCAAATTTACCCTAAAATGGTTCAGGAAAAAATTCTATATATTTGAACATAAATATATTTAAGTATTTAAAAATATGTTTAAAATCTATATAAATATATTTAAAATATATACAGAAGGGGAGAAAGAGAGGGAACAGAGGGAAGAAAGGAAGAAGAGGAAAAAAGAAAGATAATACAACTATGGAAAAATGTTAAAATTTGAGTAATGAGCATATAAACTTTGTAATTGTTCTAACTTTTATACAGGGCTGAATTATGTCAAGATAAAATTTTCAGTAGATCTGGAATTATAACCTAGATTGATTCTAACTCCAATTTGCATTCAAATATTCCTTTGAATGAATCCTTCCACTGAGTGAAAAATTTTAAGAACACAATTGTTCCTTTCTATAGATTACTACTGTTTAAAAAAATAAGTAAATAAACTTATGCCTAGGGAAAAAAACAAACACTAAGAGGAATTACACCAAAAATGTTTTAAATTTGTTTTAATTGCAAAGTAGGGCATAATTCTTTTTAAAAAATCCAAATAATACAGTTAAAGTCTCTTCTATGGCATACTCCTACACTCTTGGTAACTACTGTTAATAGAGCTATACAGCCTTCTAAAATTTTTTTCTATGGAAAAAATTATGTATATATAATTTTCTTTATAAACATGATACCACATATATAAACCCTTGTTTTACTTTACATTTTTAAAGTTAACCGTAGACATTCTTTCATGTTAGCACATAATCTTTTTTTAATGGTTGGTTAGAATTCCATAGTACGAATGAATGCATTTGTCCATTCATCTTTTGGTGAGTACTTAAGACTGTCTCCAACTTTTTTCATTTCATATACAATGCTGTAAAAATGGGGAAGCGTTGGTTCATTTTGTTTTACTTCACATTTTCCTCCTCTTTTTATTTGTTCTTAGCCATTTGTACTTCCCTCCTCTGTCGAATGCCTCTTCACATTCTTTGTCCTTTCTTCTATTGGGTCATTTATCTTTTTCTTAATGATTTATAGAAACACATTGTATAAGAATATTAACCCTATTTTTTACCCAGTATATACCTTTTGTTGCAGAGATGATTTCACTTTTACAATATCAAATCTTTATGGATTCCTAATGCCACAATAATGTTGATGTTTGAGTGACAGACCTATGGATTTTTTTAACAGTTTTTTAAATGTATCTAATACCTTTAGTAAGTATCTATTACTTTTTAAGTTAAAAAGGTCATATTTTTATATTCCTTAAAATAAGCAAAATTCCAACAAGATTTTTGATGAAACCTGGAAAACTATTCTAAAATTCACATGGATTGATGGATTTATTTAATCATTCCTTTTTGAGACAGGGTCTTGCTCAGTCACCCAGGCTGCTGCACAGTGGCACAATCACAGCTCACTGCAGCCTCGACCTTCTGAGCCCAAGCAATCCTCCTACCTCAGCCTTCTGAGCAGCTGGGACTACAAGTGCACACCATCATGCCCAGCTAACTTTTGTATTTTTTGTAGAAGTGGAGTCTTGCTATGTTGTTCAGCCTGGTCTCAAATTCCTGGGCTAAGTGATCTGCCCACCTTAGCCTCTCAAGGTGCTGGGATTACAGGTGTGAGCCACTACACCCAGCCAACTAGTCTCTCTTAATGGCCCTTTGGAGACAAGAGAACCAAGCCAAACATGAAGAACAAAAAGGGGAGACTTGCCTAAGAGAGATCAAAACTTGTAAAGCGGTATTGGCCTAAGAATAGAAAAATAGGCTACAGGAAAACATCTTAAGTCTGCTTGGGCAACTGTAACAAAAATACCATAAAGTAGGGAGCTTATAAACATAGGAAACAACTTATTTATTTCTCATAGTTCTGGAGGCTGGAAGTCCAAGTACAAGGCACCAGCAAATTCAATGTTTGGGAAGGGCCCATTCTTCATAGATGGCACCCTTCTTGTTGTGTCCTCATACAGAAGAAGAAGCTAACTACTTCACTGGGGTACCTTCTTGCCCCCATTTATGCAGGCAGAGCCCTCATGACCTAATCACCTCACCCAAAGCCCCTTTTCTTAACACTATCATATCCGGGATTAGGTTTCGACATAGGAATTTGGGGAGGTAGGGAAGGACAAACATTCAGATCATAGCAGAGAAGTACAGAGAACCCAGAAGCAAACCCATATATAAATGGAACAATGCTGATGAATTATTTAACAAATGGAACTGGGACGATTAGCGTATCTTTGAAAGAATAAAAGATTAGATTCCTTTAACACCATACACAATACACGTATGGGCACTCACGCATGCACACATACACACCCCATTCTGGGTGGATTAAAGAAGCAGTAAATGTGAAAGAACTTTAGGTATTTTATAAGGAAATATATGAGACTCTGGTAGCTACCCTCCAAGATGGCTTCTAATGATCCTCACACCCTGGTATTCAAGCCTGTGATATTGTAATATTACAAGAAATATGTATTTTTATCTTCCTCCCAAGCTCCTGGGTCCCTAGCACAGAGCTCCTAAAGCTCTTCCCGCTTCCTGAGTAATAGGAGTGATAAAGCATCTTTTATTATAAATTTGGTCTCAATCCCCAGTTCCTAAAACAAGAGCTTCTAAGAATTTCTGGAGTGACAAGAGTGTCCTTTGTATATTAATGAAGTGAACTGGTGAGTGGGGTCCCTAGATCGGTTCAGGATAATGGCCAGTGACTAGAAAGACTAAATAAAGCATGATTAGAGGGTTAGAACTTTCAGCTTCACCTCACCCTCAACCTCTGGGAAGGAAAGAGGAGCTAGAAATGGAGTTGATCATCGATGGCCAATGATTTGATTAATTATGTCTACACATAAAAGCCAAAACCATGGGGCTTGAAGAACTTCTGGGTTAGTGATGGCATCCATGTGCCAGCAGGGTGGCATACCCTAACTCCACAGGACAGAAGCTTCTGTGCTCAGGCCCCTTCTGTACCTCACCCTATATCTTCATCTGGACTAGGTATAACTCTGGGTAAGTAGGGAAAAATGAGGAGTAAGATGAGAGAAGAATGCATAAACTTCAGTTAATTAAGGTGAATTTTTAAAAAAAAATTTAAAAATTTGTAAATGAAAAGTTAACTTAAAAAATTTTTAATTCTTAAAAAAAATCTGGTGAAAAAGTACGACAAAGCTAGGACATGGGTACTTTAGTGCTCACTTTATTCTTCTCTATAGTCTTCTGACTGCTTGAATAGTCTATAACAAAATATGTTTAACCAAAATGAATGGTAAATAATAACTTAGTCAACATTTTCAGCAGAAAAGATCAAACGAGTTTATACAATTGATAATAGAAAGCAGTACCATACACAAACACAAAATTAACAATAAGAAATTATGCTAGTATTATAAATAAACCCATGGGAAAATGTACAAATTCCAGCTTTTTAGTAATTTTTCATCCAAAAAATACCTGTTGAATGCTAATAAGTCCAGCCATTATTCTAGACTCTGGGAAGACAGCAGTGAACAATACAGCTCTCATATTAATACACTGAACTTATATTCTAAAAGGCAGAGACAGCCAACAAAAATATAAACAAATAAAAAAGATGCTGATAAATGCTATGAAAACAAAATGGATGACGTGACAGAGATGAGGGAGGGAGAAAAGATACTTTAGATTGGGTGTTCTAAGACTCTCTGAGAAGACACCCGTCCTGAGAAGTACATAATGAAAAATCCTTCAAAAAGCTAAGGAAAGAGGAGACCAGGCAAGTGCAGAAATCCTGACATGAGAACAAACATAATCCATTTGAGGAACAGAAAGATGAAAGTGCCTAGACTGCAGGGAATGAGGGGGTGAGTATGAGACAAGATTAAAAAGGCAGACAAGGAAACCCAGGGGTCAATCCAGGTTTTAACGGAATTTTAAAGCTTATAAAATTGGGGGAACAGCCCTCTTCAAAAAAAAAAAGGAACATAAAACTATAAAAACAAATTTAGGTCCTAAATTGAATATTTATTCAGAATAAGAAAGGAAACGACATCAAATTACAAATTTTTAGAAACTGCCAATCACATAAAAAAGTACTAAATTAGAGTCTGGCCCCTCCGAGTTCTGGCACCAGGCAAGCTCACATCCACAGCCGGTGCACCAGCATCTCCCTCATGCCGGGTGATACTGCCAGGTCTCCAGGCACCACAATCTCCCTCACGCTGGACACTGCTCTCTGGGCACCACCATAGCCCTCATGCTGCACATGCTCTTGGTCCACGCACAGTAGCCACAGCCAGCAGGGCTGGCCTTCACGGCCTCCTGTGCTCCCCCTCCCACCCCTAGGCTGGAGTGCAGTGGCACAATCATAGCTCACTGCAGCCACAAAGGCCTGGGCTCAAGGGATCCTCCTACCTCAGCCTCCCGAGTAGCTGGGACTACAGGAGTGCACCACCACGCCTAGCTATTTTTTATTATTATTTCTGTAGAGACACAGTCTCACGATATTGCCCAGGCTGGATTTCAACTCCCGGCTTAAGTGATCCTCCTGCCTCAGCCTCCCCCGTAGCTGGGATTACAGGTACAAGCCACTGTCCAACTCAATTTTTTTTTTTTTTTTTTTGAGATGGAGTCTTGCTTTGTCGCCCAGGCTGGAGTGCAGTGGTGCAATCTCGGCTCACTGCAAGCTCCGCCTCCTGGGTTCACACCATTCTCCTGCCTCAGCCGCAGGTGTGAGTAGCTGGGACTACAGGCGCCAGCCACCATGCCCAGCTAATTTTTTTTTTTTTTTTGTATTTTTAGTAGACACGGGGTTTCACCGTGTTAGTCAGGATGGTCTCGATCTCCTGACCTTGCGATCTGCCCGCCTCGGCCTCCCAAAGTGTTGGGATTACAGGCGTGAGCCACCGTGCCCAGCCCCACCTCAATTTTATAATATAATTTTCTACACAGAGAACACAGAAAATAGTTGTCTTTTGTTTACAATAGAGAATCAACGTTTTTTTTTTACTACTTATAGTTTAGAACTAAAGTTTCAGCTTCACAACTATTGGTGATGCTATGTAAATGTCTCAAATTACTGAATTTGTGAAAACCTCTCATGTTTCTTTCACATGTGAGTTACAAGAAGATTATTTTTAAAAACTTGCAAAAAGTCAATCTTGGTTTCTCGTCCATTACCCACAGTCTTCCAGTGTTGGCTAGATGTGTCGTAGGATGCGTTCATATTGCTATGCAAACCTTCGGCCAAGCACCCTATAACCATGCCAGCTGCACTGCCAGAGTGCACAGCCATCAAATTCCTGGAAGGTATTCTTACATGGAGTCAGCTAGCAACAGCTAAACTTTAAAATGACTGCAGGTCACAGAAACATATCCCACTCATCTTCTCCTTAGGACTCCAGAACTGCTTTTGTCCATCCCAACACAGCCTGAAAGGATAGGGTGTGTGACAGGAAAGAAGACAAAGTGGAAAAGTACAGTGGCCTTAACCAATTTAGTCCAGCTTCAGAAAGATACTCTGCAAGTGAGAAAGGCCTATGCTTTATGAGCTTCAAGGTAAATACCTCTGTCCAGATCATTCTGAGCCTTAAAGATCATCAAGAACAGTTAGGATTTTTTCTTCTTCATGAGACAAGAAACCAGTGGAGGGTTTTAATCAAGGGATCTGAACTATGTTTTGTTAACAAAAACACAAGGGAAATGCACTGACCTAAGGTTATCCTCTAACCCTGATCAAAAAGAGGTATTCAAGCACAAAGCAGAACAAAGTTATGCTTCCATCTCCTGAAAATCTGTGTTTCCTCTTTTTCCTTATCTCTGGATTATAGATATACACAAATCCAGTCATCCCATAATTTTCCCAAAGACTTCTAATTGAAAATAGAAGTAAAAATTTCTCAACCTACAAGTTTGTAAAAAAAGAATAGCAGTCTTTAAAAGCAGGATAGTCAGTTATTTAAGTGTTGTTCTACAGCTATTTTAGGAATGGTGGTATTGTTGTTCCTAGCTGTGCAGCCCCAATCTTAATAGCCTGGCCTTTCCATCAGCTCAAGAAACCACAAATATCTTCAATTAATTCTGTTTATACTTAAATTAGCAAAAGTTAACTAGTAAGTTCATTTCTACTAACAATTAAGAGCTCTGAATCCAACAAATAAGTATGTAATAAGCAAATAAAAGTAAACCAGTCAATCATGAAACTTGAAGTTATTAAAAGCACGGGGTGGGGGGGTGCGCGGTGGAGATGGTAAAAATGATTAGAAGCTGTTGAACCAGAAATGCTGGAGGGTGATGGCATTCCTCAGCCCTTCCTACTCACCCACAGGTCTCTTGTTCTGCCCTTCCATCCATGTTTGGGGAGAAGGGTCAAGAGAGAAGCACACAGTAGCTTCTCACTACATAAAGTCAGCTCTGCTACTGACATGCTAAAAAAGCTGTGAAGAAAAGGAAATTAAAGAAGGCAAAAAAAAGAAGAGGCCCATGTAAGAACTGACCTGAGAACACAGTGTGTATTCTAACAAGCACAGAAGAGCATAATACAGATACAAAGTTTAAAATGTAGGAGTGGGAAACACAGAATAAAAGGACTGTAGGATTAGGTTAATCTAGAAAACCTTGGTCCCAGAGTGGTTGGTGTGGAATAACTGCCAGTCATCATCTCATCCATAAGTAAGATCTTTGTAGCTAAATCATAAAGGCAACGACAAAGTGAATTTACATTTTTCAAATCCAATTACACACGTGAAACTTTAACCTAGTAAGACAACATTTCAATGAGAAGCTAAAACAATTGTAAAAATTTTGATCTAGAAAAATATCTGATAAAGGTAAAAATAAATGTTACCCATGCACATTTTTTTAAATTAACTAGATCTACAAGGCTTGTTATGAAAAACTAGTCCCAGCTCCCTCTCCAATATTTCCTTTTCCCAAAAGCTTTCTTTATTCAGTGACTGCCAGTTGAGGAAATTTGAGATATAGCTGTTTCCTGGTCCTGGCATCCTCCACACTTCCCACCCCCGATGTCTCAACACAATCCTAACTTTGGTTAGATCAATATTTGAGGCTTATGTCATTATAACTACATAGGGTATTCAGAGCTGAACCAAGCAGTAAACAATAATTACTTTTCTTTTCCTGCATAACATTTTGTTTCCCTTGCAATTAATAATTTGTTTCTCATTTCTTTAGTTTTCTACATACTTATCTACTATATATTTATCCCAATTCACCCCAGACTCTCCAGTCTGACAAAGCTCCTTTGAGTATACCAATTTGCCTCAGGTTTCTATGAATTTCATCTTCTGGAAGAAGTCTCTCCCTGTCTTCAGACTTGCTACCATCTGGACTGAGGAACCTAGGCCAGGTACACAGCTACTGTCCTAGGTGTTCCTCCCACTCCTCTCCTACATTAATCTTCTTCCTAAAAACACCACTGCCACTCTCTTCCCCACCTCCATTCCCCTCAGATCCCACCACAGAAGTTTCATGAGAAAAAAAATAGTGTGTCGACAAAGCTTGGAAAACCTTGCAACATACAGTCGCTTTCTGGAATTCCCTAATGTATGCATTTGAGAACCCTATTCTAAAAAAAAACTTTCAATTTTGATTAATCCAGGTATCTCTGAAACTTAATCAGAGACAATAATCTATTTTTGAGGAATACCTACCTGCTAATGATGTACACTTTGGGAAATGGTACATGGATGGTAAGCTACTTGAAGGCAGGGAATATAGCTTATTATACTTTGCAAACTCATGACATCTAACATGGAACAAAACATAGGAAAAAAACATGCTGAAACAAACACAGGTTTATATAATAGTAGATGTCATGTATCTTGGTCATATTCTAAAAGCTATTCCGAAATACCAATGATCATCCTAGGTATATTATAACAACTCTATATACATTTCATAGAATTTCCACTATAAATTCATTATGTGTGAGTGCAGCTATCCCTGGGTATTCGTGGGGGGGACTGATTCCGGGACCCACTAAGGATACTAAAATCCACAGATATTCAAGTCTCTTATATCAAATGGTATAGTATTTGCATATAACCTACACACATTATCCTGTATACAGGCATACCTCGAGACATTGCACGTTCTGTTCCAGACCACCACAATAAAGTGAGTAACACAAATTTTTTGGATTCCCAGTTCATATGACAGTTATGTTTACACTATACTATAGTCTTCTGTGTAACAGCATTATGATTTTAAAATGCACATACCTTAATTAAGGATCATCTGAGCCTTCAGCAAGTCATAAACTTTTTGCTGGTAGAAGGTCTTGCCTTGATGGCTGCTGACTGATTGGGGTGGCAGTTGCTGAAGGTTAGAGTGGCTGTGGCAATTTCTTAAAATGAGACAATAAAGTTTGCCACATCAATTGACTCTTCCTTATGAAATATATCTCTGTAACGTGTCATACTATTTATCCACAGTAAAACTTTCTTCAAAATTTGAGTTAATCCTCTCACATCATGCCATTGCTGTATCAATTAAGTTTATGTAATATTCTAAATCCTTTTGTTGTCATTTCAACAATGTTCACAGCATCTTCTCAAGGAGTAGAATCCATCTCAAGAAACCACCTACTTTGCTCATCCATAAGAAGCAATGCCTGGCCAGGGGTGGTAGCTCACACCTGTATTCCCAGCACTCTGGGAGGCCAAAGCAGGAGGATCGCCTGAAGCGAGGAGTTCGAAAACAGCCTGGGCAAGAAAGCAAGACCCTGTCTGTACAAAAGATAATTTTTTTAAAAAATTAGCCAGGCACAGTGGTGTGTGACTGTGGTCCTAGCTACTTAGAAGGCTGAGAAGGGAGGATCGCTTTAGCCAGGGAGTTCAAGGCTGCAGTGAGCTAGGATCGTGCCACTGTATTCTGCTCCAGCCTAACAGAATGAGACTTTGTCTTTAAAAAAATCTTTTTAATAAACAGATAAAAAACAGCAACTCCTCATCCATTAATGTTTTATCATAATACTGCAACAATTCAGTTCCATCTTCAGGCTCCACTGCTAATTCTAGTTCTCTTGCTATTTCTACCACATCTGCAGTTACTTTCTTCTTTGAAGTCTTGAATCCCTCAAAGTCATCCATGAGGGTTGAAATTCAACTTTTTCCAAACTCTTGTTAATGCTGATATTCTGACCTCCTCCCATGATTCATGAATGTTCTTAATGGCATCTAGAATGGTGAGTCCTTTCCGGAAAGTTTTTCACTGACTTTGCTCAGGGCCATCAGAGGAATTGCTACCTATGGCAGCAGCCATACCCTTAGAAAATGTATTTCTTAAATAATAAGACTTGAAAGTTGAAATTAGTCCTTGATACCTGGGCTGCAGAATAAATGTTGTGTTAGCAGGCATGAAAACAACATTCATCTCCTTGTCCATCTCTATCAGAGCTCTTGGGTGACCAGGTCCACTGTCAATGAGCAGTAATATTTTGAAAGGAATCTTTCTGAGCAGTAGGTCTCCACAGTAAGCTTAAAATAGTAAACCATGCTATGAACAGATGTGCTGGCTTCCAGGCTCTCTTTTTCCACTGATAGAGCACAGGCAGAATACAGATTTACCATAATTCTTAAGGGTCCTAGGATTTTTGGAATGGTAAAGGAGCACTGACTTCAACTTAAAGTCACCAGCTGCATTAGCTACGACCAAGAAAGTCACTGTCCTTTGAAGCTTTGAAGGCAGGCATTGACTTCTCTCTCTAGCTATGAAGTCCTGGATAACATCTTCTTCACCAAATAGAAGAGTGTTTTGTCTACACTGAAAATCTATTGTTTAGTGTAACCACCTTCATCAATGATCTTCGCTAGATCTTCTGGATAAATTGTTGCAGCTTCTACATCAACATTGATTGCTTCACTTTGCATTTTTATGTTACGGAGACGGCTTCTTTCCTTAAACCTCATGAATCAACCTCTGTTAGCTTCTAACTTTTCTTCTGCAGCTTTCTCATCTCTCTTCATAGAATTAAAGAGAGTTAGGGCCTGCCTCTGGATTAGGCTTTGGTTTAGGGAAATGTTGTGGCTGGTTTGATCTACCCAGACCACTCAAACTTTCTCCTTATCAGCAATACGGCTGTTTCGCTTTCTTATCATTCATGGGTTCACTGGAATAGCACTTTTCATTTCCTTCAAGAAATTTCCCTTTGCATTCACTTGGCTCAAGAGGACTAGCTTTTTGCCTGTCTTGGCTTTCAACATAGCTTCCTCACTATGCTTCATCATTTCTAGCTTTTCATTTCCAGAGAGACGTGTGATTGTTCCTTTCACTTGAACATGTAGAGGCCATTTTAGGGTTACTGACTGGACTAATTTCAATATTGTTGTGTCTCAGGAGTGAGAGAGACAGGGGTACAGCCAGTTGCTGGATCATTAAGAACATACACATTTATTAAGTTCATCACCTCACATGGGTAATGGTTCGTGGTGCCCCAAAACAATTACAACAGTAACATCAAAGATCACTGATCATAGGTCACCATAACCGGTATAATAATAACGAAAAAGTTGAAATACTGCAAGAATTACCCAAAATGTGACACAGAGGCACAACATAAGCACATGCTCTTGGAAAAATGGCACTGATAGACTGGCTCGACTCAAGGTTGCCACAAATCTTCAATTTGTAAGAAATGCAGTATTAGCAAAGTGCAATAAAACAAGCTAGGCCTGTACTTTAAATCATCTCTAGATTATTTAAAACACCTAATACAATGTAGATACTATATAAATAGTCACACTGTATTGTTTAGGGGAAAATAAGGGGAAAAAGTCTATGCATGTTCAGTATGAACGTAACCATTCTTTTTTTTTTTTCTCAAGTATTTTTGACACACAGTTGATAGAACCACAGATGCAGAACCCACAATGGGTATGAGAGGCGAACTGCATACCTATTATCTCAACTCCACTCCACTGGATAGAACATACTTCTCTTTGCTTCCAAAATTAAGTCCATCCTCAAAAACGCAATACGCCTAAAAACAACTCTGATTCATTATACCTTTAAACAACAGATTACTCAAACCAGAGCATTAAGTAAAATGGTTTTGTAAAAACTGTAAATATATGACACTAATAATTCAACATGTATATCACAGTATGAGTGCATATACTTTATGTTAATGAACAGAATTTAAATGAGACGAAGGATAAATGGTGAAGAAATCTTGCCCCCTTCCCTCGTCAACAATTCAGGCAAACCTAAATAAGAGGAGTCACTTATTCCAGTCCCCTTCTCTCAATAAGGAGGAGAGGAAGAGAAACATTCTGCCCCTGGGCGGCATAAAGAACAAACTGTGCTCCTGCAAGCTTCATTCAGTAGCTCTGGACCAAATGAATCAACATGTTTATCTGCTAATACAGCTGAGCTCATTTTAAAGTGTTATGCACTTAAAAGGAAACAAACTTTTTAAAAAACAAAACTAGTAAAAATTAGAAAGTTTTTGTTGTTTTAGCAAATTTAGTTAGGTTTATGAAGACCAAAAATTAACAGAATAAATCTTCTATTTTGTCAAAATGTTTATTCTCAACTGAAGAAGATTTAAGGAAACTCAGGCTCAAAAACATTTGATCTAGGGGTCAAGGACAGTCTGACTTCTTAGTTCTGCCAGCAGTTTTTTAAAGCTGCTTCCTGTACTAGGGAACGTTCACTGTTCTTGCACAAACAATAATAAGTCATTTATACAAACACCTTGGTTATTCTTTCCTTTTAAATTCACTGGTAATAACAAAGGCTACCATCATGATTCTAATAAACATTTTGAGCTTTTACCATTAAATTTCTATTAATTTATTATTTGTGGGGAAACAATTTATTCACTTAACTCAAAAATATGTCTCCAATGCTGCCAATCATGTGCCCGACATTATAGATAAAAGTCAGCAAAAGAGATACAGTCACTGCCCTCCCAGAGCTTCCAGTTTTGCTGACAAGATATTATGGAATTATACATCTATATATATAACCCGGACTATGAAAAGGGAAAAATATACCATGAAAGCAAACAACATGATCTGGCCCTGGGGGTCAGAGGATTCCTTTGGCAGTGATAATTAAGCTGAGATTAGCCTTACAATCACTAAACATGATTTGAAACACACACATTCCAAATCATCCTAGGAGTAGGAATGCTTACAGCTACATGGGGGAGGGGAGAAGAGTTTATAGGAGCCAAGGTAAAATCCATGACTTTAAAAATAAAGGTGAGAGCTTCATGTGTACAACACCAAGAGATCACTTATCTCTGTAGGAAGAAAAGCAATGGCCATTCCTAGCATACTTTCACTCAAAAACAGGTTTCGTAGCTAGAACTATTTTCCAATAATAAAGCCAAACATCAGCTATCAATCTAATAATCTCCAATCATCTCAAGTCCTCCAAACACATTAAAATGAATTTATAACAGTAAATGTATCACAAGCCTCAACACCCCGTATAAACCCAGTAATGAAAAAAGATGTCTTAAGCTTCACATATCACAGGTCATCTAATGTCAGAACAGAAACAAACTTCTAGAAATCATCTTGTAATAAAACACTTTTCACTGTGCAAATCAGGAGTAACACCCGAAGTGAAGCAGCAGCACTTACAATGTCACACATCTAGTTCAGAGTAGAACAGGAGGCTAGAGCATGGACTGCCTGAGTCCACTCTCTATGCTTTTTCTACCAGCATACAGCAGCAAATACATGACAAGAAACACACGTTGCAAATAAATAAGGCAGAATTTTAAGACACAAATTGCATTTCAAAATTTTTATTTTAAAATTTTTTTTACATATTTTTAGGGACAGGGTCTCACTATGTTGCCCAGGCTAGTCTTAAACTCCTGGCACAAGCAGTCCTCCCTCCTCAGCCTCCCAAAGTATTGGGATTACAGGCACAAGCCACCGTGCGTAACTCAAAATTTTTATACATTTTCAACTGACCCACACATGCTGCAGGCTCTAGAAAACAAATGCTCCCTCTTACCACATACCACAGAAGAGTAAAACTGAAAACAACAGCTGGGCACAGTAGCTCACACCTATAATCCCACATGCTATGGGAGGCTGAAGTGAGAGGATCTCTTGAGGCCAGGGGTTCAAGACCAGCCTGGGCAACACAGTGAAACCCTGTATCTATAAAAAAATAAAATTAGCCAGACACAATGGTGCACACCTGTAGCCCTAGCTCCTCAGGAGGCTTAGAAGGGAGGATCCTTTGAGCCCAGGAGATCAAGGCTGCAGTGAGCTATAATCGCACCACTGCACTCTGCACTCCAGCCTCAACAACAGAGCAAAACTGTCTCAAAAAAAAAAAAAAAGGGTGAAGAAAACCGACTATTTATTGACTCCCTAGGGTCTAGGAGCTCGACTGAGTAGCTCATCTACTTTAACATCCATTAATCATCACAACTACCCTCTGATTAGATATTATTCTCATTCTACTGAGACCCAGAAACATTAGAAATTTACTTATGGTTACATAGCAGAAAAATGGTAGAAGTAGGACTTGAATTCAAGTCTAAATCTAAATCCATGTAGCCATTTTACCATTAAAAAGCATTTTTTCTTTTTTTGAGACAGGGTCTCATTCTGTCACCCAGGGTACAGTGCAGTAGCACGATCATGGCTCAGCTCACTGCAGCCTCAACCTCCCAGGCGTAGGTGATCCTCTCGCTTCAGCCTCCCAATTAGCTGGGACTACAGGCGCAAGCCACCATGCCCACCTAATTTTTCTGTATTTTTTGTAGAGATGAGGTTTCACCATGTTGCCCAGGCTGGTCTCAAACTTCTGGACTCAAGCTATTCATCTACCTTGGCCTCCCAAAGTGCTGGGATTACAGGCATAAGCCACTGTACCCAGCTAGTGTTTCTTCATTAAAAAATACTATACAATGTGATTAGGTTTCCCTGGGAACTTACAAATGCCCATTTAATTGCTAATGAAACATATTTTAAAGTTTGGTCTAGGATAACTGCCATTTATAACATTATATCAAAAAGAACTACCAAGTTTTAAACAACTACTTTACAAACAAAATTTGGAACATATTCTTAAGTTAAATGTTATTCATATTTTCTTTTATAACATTCTTTTCAACCCTGCTGTCAGTGCCACCAGAAATGGGTGTTATCTACTCCTATGAAATGTTGGCTCAGACACAAGAAGAAGAGTATAATGCATGACTGCTTAAGAGAACCATAAAAATACAAGAACTACATTTTAATCATTCTGATTTCTCCATTGGTGGACAGCCCATTAACAGCTTCAACTGGGAGAGAGCATACTGCTCAAAAATAAGAACCCAGCAGTCCAAATAGAGCAAAGCACATCATTAATTAAAAGAATACCAGTTTTTGCACAACTACCCACACCATAGGACTTTCTGCTTTCTCAGCTCTGCTAAATTCTGTTACCACTCACGCACCAGGTTCTCAGCTTCCAATATTTAGTTGACGTTGTTTGCCTGCTGTCATCTCTCATCTCGTTCTCTTTACCCTCATGGATTTCTGCTTTTATATGTGTTCACTATCATTTAAGTGGGGAAGGAAATACATGTCTTCTCTGATAATACTGGAGATTTTTAAAGTTTTCTTTTGATCCCTTATGGTATCTGTTTTCTCCCAGTGTTCCAAGTATCACTCCCTCTCCACCTCTCTATGTCTACTTTTTTTTTTTTTTAATGTTGGAGTCTTCCCCCAGATGACCAATGGTGTTAGATTGTTTGCTCATATTTAAGAATAAGCCCCTGAAAAGAACTAACTGAAAGATCTGTGTGGGAAAACAGGGCTTAACGACTGGTAGAATTCACTTAAGGTACTCTCAGCAGAAAGCCTATCAGTATCTGAAGATGCTGTTATCTTCAGTCTTCCACAGGAGAAGGATAGGACAGGCTTGACTGTGCAGTTCTGGAAGGAGAGCAGAGGAAGAGAGCTAACACTTCTATAGTTCAGGCGTAGGTTTCCCTTGATCTCCTTGTTTTTTTTTTTTGTTTTTTTTTTTTGGTTTTTTTTTTTTTGAGACGGAGTCTCGCTCTGTCGCCCAGGCTGGAGTGCAGTGGCGGGATCTCGGCTCACTGCAAGCTCCGCCTCCCGGGTTCACGCCATTCTCCTGCCTCAGCCTCCCAAGTAGCTGGGACTACAGGCGCCCGCCACTACGCCCGGCTAATTTTTTGTATTTTTAGTAGAGACGGGGTTTCACCGTTTTAGCCGGGATGGTCTCGATCTCCTGACCTCGTGATCCACCCGCCTCGGCCTCCCAAAGTGCTGGGATTACAGGCGTGAGCCACCGCGCCCGGCCGATCTCCTTGTTTTAAACCAAGCAACAATCCACGGCCCCTGGTTTCAAAGTCCAGACAGCTCTTCATTAATTTTGCAAAGAATAAACCTTGTTCTCCTGAGGCCAGGGAGTTGGTAGTGAAGGGACTCACCCATCCACAAGGGCACATAGGGAGAAAATCGTAGGGGTCCACCTGTCAGTGTACACAGATTTTCCGACCAGCTCCCCTGTTTTCAGCTCCATTTCTGACCCCTATCTTCCTTAGTATCTGGTGCCTCCAAATGCTGAGACTCTTGGGAGCTTCGGACAAACACAGTACTGCATTTCTTACAGGTATTTTTGTGCACTTACAGGTACTGTGTGATTCCTCTGCAAAGTCAGTCACTACCTGTCCATCTGCTTATTTGAAAGAGGTATAGCAGCTTCTGTCTCCTGTTGTAACCTCTCCCAGTCTCTGATTTCTTTCTTCCATTTAGGCAGGGATTAGGAAATAAGAAGAGATGTACAGGTGTAGCCAATCTGTCACTTTTGGTCAGAAGCCCTGAGAGAGCTCTTTTGAAATCAGCTATCTCAGGATACTGACTTAAGGACTAAATTAGTATTTCTCAAAGTCCGATCACAGACTTGCATTAGAATCCACAAGGATGCTTGTCCACACAGCAGTCTGGGTGATTTTTGCTTTTGCTGTTACATGGAAATCAGATTAAGTCACTCCCCCACTTAAAACTTCCTAATAAGCAGCTTCTCACTCCACTTAAAAGCCAAGGTCTTTCAAAGCCTAAAATAATACGGCCAATGTATGTCTATCTCTGATCCCATTTAATACCATTCTTTCCAGGCACTTTTCTCTACTATTAATATATTCTGACAACACTGGCCTAGACCACCAACCAGTTTATTGCTATCTCAGGGCCTTTGCACATGTTCTTTCCTCTGCTTGTAACGTTCTTCTTCTAGTTCTTGCATGGCCCCTTCTCATTTTTCAGATCTCAGTTCAAAGGTGGACAGACAAAATGTGGTACATCCATATTATGGAGTGTTATTTAGCCTTAAGAAGGAAGGAGATGCGGACATGTGCCACAGCATGGATGAACCTGGAAAACACTACGCTAAGTGAAATAAGCCAGTCACACAAATACTGTACGATCCACTTACATGAGGCACTAAAGCAGTCAAATTTAAGAAGGCAGAAAGAATGGTTGTTGTTAGGGGCTGAGAGGAGAGAGAAAATAAAAAATTACTGTTTAATGGCTGCAGAGTTTCAGTTTCACAACATGAAAAAAGTTCTGGAGGCAGATGGTGGTGAATGGTTGCAAAACAATGTGCATGTACTTGATGTCGCTGAAACGTGCACTTACAAATGGTTAAAATGGTAAATTTTATGTTATATATATTTTACTACAACCTAAAAAATACTTTTTTAAAAAAAAAAGCAAGATAAAAAATAAGAGTTATCTCTTCAAAAGACACCTCCCAAGATCACTCTATGCAAAGCTCTCTCTCTCCTTTCCCCTGCCAGGTAATTATCTGGCACATATCATGGTATACTTTCTTCACAGAACTTAGCACTATATAAAATTATCCTGTTTGTTTATTATCTCTCCGCCAGTTACAGAGTAGGCACCTGGGATGTCTTCTAACACTACCTACACAATATGGTAATAAATATATAATAGGAAGACACTCAATACACATTTGGTGGCTAAATGAATTAACTGTCTTCTAGGTCTCAACCCAGATCTACTAAATGAGAATCTTGGGATTCTCAGACATTGCTTTATTGGGAGAGAAAACTTGCTATTTATGACCCAAATAGCACCTCCCAATCCCAACAGCTAGTTAGGACAATTTGACACAAATGACCTTTAAAATAGATATTCTCTGTTCTTACCACAGAATATGTGCTTTTGATTGGAGGGTTAAACAGTGGGGAAGGTATAGATGAAAGAGGAGTTTCTAACATTTTCATAAAGGAATGCCTGATAACATGACAATATAGTTCCTTTAATTATTCTTAAATGATTAAGCATGTATAACTATCAGAAGAGCTTCTACATAATCAAATAGATCACTAAACTTCTTTATGAAGTAATTCAAAAGTTAGGATAACAAAAAAAAAAACCAAAAAACAGTTTTTCTTTTTTTTTTTTTGAGATGGAGTCTCACTCTGTCACCCAGGCTGGAGTGCAGTGGTGTGATCTCGGCTCACTAAAAGCTCCACCTCCTGGGCTCATGCCATTCTTCTGCCTCAGCCTCCCAAGTAGCTGGGACTACAGGCGCCCACCACCACACCCGTCTAATTTTCTGTATTTTTAGTAGAGACGGGGTTTCACCATGTTAGCCAGGATGGTCTCGATCTCCTGACCTCGTGATCCGCCTGCCTCGGCCTCCCAAAGTGCTGGGATTACAGGCCTCCCAAAGTGCTGGGATTACAGGCGTGAGCCACTGTGCCAGGCCCTTTTTTTTTTTTTTTTTTTTAAGACAGGGTCTCACTGTGTCACCCAGACTGGAGTGCTGCAGTGGCATGACCACTGCTCACTGCAGCCTGACCTCCTGGACTCAAGCGATCCTCCCACCTCAGCCTCCTGATCTCCCACATAGCTGGGACTACAGGCATGCACCACTACACCTGGCTAATTTTTAATTTTTTTTTTTTTTTTTTTTTTTTGTTTTGTAGAGATGTGGTCTCGCTATGTTACAGGCTGGTCTCAAACTCCTGGGCTCAAGCAATCTGCCTGCCTCAGCCTCCCAAAGTGCTGGGATCATAGGCATGAGACTTTGTGCCAGGCCTTCTATTTATGTTCTTGATATTATCTAATTTCCTACAGGATTTTGTTCTCATATCTTCTCTCTGTTATCTTTCCATCTCACCTGGACAATTCTATAGCTCACTCCTAGACAGCAAACAAACACACTTATCTCCCCATTCTAAAAAATATTCACTCACTCTTACTACATGTTCAACCTCTAATTTTCTCTATTCCTCTCCACAACATCCAGCTTTTTTGAAGTCTACTTTCTCATTTCCCATTCACTCCTTAACCTTCAACTCCACACTGGCGAATATGGTCATCAACCCCTTAACACAGCAGTTGCTCTTTCATTAGTCACCAATGAGCTCCTTTCTGTTACTCATCATACCTCCTTCACTGTTTTAATCTTGCTCCTCCTTTTAGATGACTTAAATTCTGTTCATCGCTAAAGTATGAGTGGAAAGTGGGGTAGTGAACCCAGACAAGACTGGGTGTGGCCCTGGCTTCAACAGTTATTGCACTTTTCTGAGCTGACTGACATAGGACTGGTCTGTCTTCCTAAGGGATAACTGAACTAGGGCAGGCACTAGATCCTCATTTATCTTTACATCCTTGAGCTCTTTATATCTTTATATACTGTGTGCTTGGCACATTAAGTAGACACTCAATGGGGCTGTGGAAGGTAGGAAAGAAAGAAAATGGGGAGGGAATGGGTGGGGAAAAATGCAGGAAACAATTTTACTCATCTTTTTATCCCTAAGTACAAAGTAGAAAAGTTAACCATAATAGAACCTCAATTAATGTTTGGTGACCCTTACTGAATACATATATACTACCTATTGCATGAAGATTTGGGTTTTGTTTAATTTCATTGAACGTTTACATTTAAATTCTGAGAACTGCACATTTACCACAAAACTATGGTTGTAAAAACTATACTGTTAATTATAGTTACAGTTGCTGACTCATTAAGCAAATTCATAGTTTTAGAAACATAGTTTTAGTCAATGAAGCAATAAAATATACTTTAGCATTCTTCAACATTCAGACTAGGGGTAGGGGATGATAAAGAGAGACAGCGAAGTTAAGACTCAACATGAAATGAGGTAGAAATAAAAAGAACAACACTGAAGTCTGGCCATAGGGTGGTTAAAAGGCTCTGTAATTTTCCTAAAATTAACTTTCAAATATATGACAAAATTGTCATAAATAAGTTAGTCTAGGTTTAAAGAGCTTTTTTGAAAGTCTGATTTCTGTTACTTAAGAAAAAATAAAATGTCTCTAATTTTTAAACAAAGCACACATAAACAAGCTGCTTTCAATAAATGCTCTTTTACTATATTTCAAAGGAAAACTATCTAGCACTTTGGGGCACTTATTAAATAGTGAAAAGAAAAATATTTCTTTCTAGTTAAAAAAGGATGAAGACAATTCTTGGGGAGTGGGGGGATCCAAGTAACTGAATTCTGTCTATAACTTAAAGTTCCTTTTTTTTTAGCTCTTATTCTCTGTCTTATTTCCAAGTTTCTATTTCCTTTACTTGCTTTTAAATGTCAGTATTCTCCAGAGTGCTATCCTCTCATCCTTCTCTTAAACATGTTCATTGAGCAATCTCATCTGTACCAGAAAAGCACACTGTTTAGGAGTATACCTTCCAGGACCAAATGTGCTTGTGTTTGAATCCTGACCCTACTACTTGCTAGGTGTACAACCTTAGACAAGTTACTTAACTTTTCTGTACCTCAGTCTACTCATCTGCAAATCAAGGATAAAGCAGTGCCAACCTTACAGGGCTGTTGTGAGGCCTCAGTTAATATATATCAAATGCTTACAATGCTGCCTGGCACATAATATGTTTTCTAACTAAGAGTGTTAGCTATAAGAGGGCCATATAATTCACCCAGGGCACTTCTAAGATTTAAGGAAGAGATTATGGGCCAGGTGCAGTGGCTCACGCCTGTAATGCCAGCACTTTGGTAGGCCAAGGTGGGCGGATCACGAGGTCAAGAGATCAAGACCATCCTGGCCAACATGGTGAAACCCCGTCTCTACTAAAAATACAAACATTAGCTGGGTGTGGTGGCGCACACCTGTAGTCCCAGCTACTCGGGAGGCTGAGGCAGGAGAATTGCTTGAACCCACAAGGCAGAGGTTGCAGTGAGCCAAGATCGCGCCATTGCACTCCAGCCCAGCGACAGAGTGAGACTCAGTCTCGAGGAAAAAAAAAAAAGAGAGATTATGTATAATAATCACACTGGAGCGACAAGAGTAAACCAGAACTACCTTAGGCAAATTAAGACAGTATCACCCAACTAGTTAGGATAAGCCATAAAATACAATGATATGCACCATTTCTGCCCTATAAATATCATATAATTAACCTAATAATGTTCAGTTCCAGTTAATGAAAACCTAGCAAATACTTAACTATTATTTCTGAAAGTGGGTTCAGTAGGGGTGATGGCTGAATAGGTCAAAACACTTCAGAAACATCAAGTTAAATAAAGCTAAGTATGTTGGAAAGATGAAGTTTACCATCTAGCCTACCCAAAACTCACTGGTGTGCTAATTGACTTTATAGCTTAAACTAGTCTTATTTTGCAGCTACAAAGTTATTCTGAAATGAAATTAAAATGAGCTACTAGCTTTTTAAAATATAAGGTATGTTATCTATGTTATTC
This sequence comes from Homo sapiens, assembly GCF_000001405.40. Classification (NCBI taxonomy): domain Eukaryota; kingdom Metazoa; phylum Chordata; class Mammalia; order Primates; family Hominidae; genus Homo; species Homo sapiens. Next base: position 243,801,184 of record NC_000001.11, read on the forward strand.
CTCAGGGCCTATCCCATAATGAGTATTAAATAAACATTTCTTGAATGAATGAATGAATATTAAAAACAATTTCTATTATCTCTGAACTATGAGAGATATGGAGATTGTAACAAAGAATGAAATCCTTAAAAGAAAAAAAGATAATTCAAATTTTCTTGTTCACTACTTAAAAACCATTAAAAGCCATTTTTGACCTAATAATTCCATCAACCCATGTATTTCATATGTAAATGTTCAATGAAACAGGACTTGCCATGCCATGGATAAAGTTTTAAAGACGGTAATAAAAATCTTTTCAGGGTTATTATTTCATTTAAACACTACTGATGTTTATCCAGCCAACAAAAAAGTATAATAGCACAAAGACTGCCTTCTGAATACTCCCTAGAGGCCAATCAGCCAGGTGTGAGAATTCTGAGGTTAGGGAAACTCTTTGAAACAGAGTTCAAGAAGAGCTACTTAGAAATAAAGAAACAAATTCAGATCATGATAGCCATAAAGCAGAACCTGCAGAAGGGAGCATCAAAAAACCAAGGGCAGTTTTGCATATTTACCAATTTAATCTACTATTTCAAAAAAGCTGAAGCACTAGTCTTATAGTAGTGACCTGCAAAAATTATCGAGCCACATTTAGTCAACAGCAAATATCCAATGGAAAATCTAATGCAATTTTTATATGGATGCTACTGGAATCTTATATCCAAAAACTGAAGAAGGCCAACCGAAACCCCAAACTACAATTTTATTCTTTCTGATCTTATGTTAGTTCCTGAAATCTGTTATGAGGAAAAATATTCCTATAGGATAAAAACAATAGTGGGGGCTAATATATATGGAAAATACTACACTAAAAAGTTTGCATACATTATTTCCTTTGGTTTTCACAATCATCTTAAATAATACCCGGCTTGACTGTAGGAATCTTAACAGACCCCAAAGGCCGCAGCTCATTTCCAAATGCCTGGTCAGAATTTTCCTTTTTGTAAGTTTGTATACTTTTTTGCTGGCTTAATTTCTCTTTCCTCAGGTATACTCCAACACAATACACTATTAAGCCTAACTACTGGTAAGGTAGAGTCAAATTCTGTTACAAAAAGTTCCATATGACCCCTCTACGCTACATGACATGGTAGCAAACGAAACCATGACAGGCAGCTGTGACGAAAATAGCTATACATTTATAATTTAAAGTAATATTCCTGGCTAGAATTTATTGGAAAGGAAATATCAAATATTGGAGCTAGAAGAGACTTTAGGGACACTAATCAAAACAAAATTTTATTGAACATAAATAAGATGCATTTTTACTGTAAACTTTCCAGTCATTATTGTTGTTCTTAAAGTTTAGCAAGTTTGGGAAGAGAAGCTGGAACTCTTGGTTTTACATCAAAACCAAGATCATTAATTTTCCTACAGTATACTAGGATTCCTTCTATTTTATATTTTTGTGTAACCCAAATTACTCTATTAAATAGTAGAAATTTAGAGCTAGACAAAATTTCTAATCCATCCATTTATTTTTACAGGCAAGAAAACAAAGGCCCAGTGTGTCAAGTAGTTTTATATTTTGGTTGCATACAGTTGGTTACCAAAAGAGTTAGGACTAAAACCCAGGACTTCATTCACATCCAGTGCTTTTCAGCAAAACAAAAAAGTCAATGCTTATCAGTAAGAATTTTAACAGGCCAGGCACAGTGGCTCATGCCCATAATCCTGGCACTTTCAGAAGCCAAGATGGGAGGATCGCTTGAGGCCAGGAGTTTAAGACCCACCTGGGCAACACAGCAAGACCCCATCTCTACAAAAAAATTAAAAATTAGCAGGCATGGTTGCATACACCTGTAGTTCCAGCTACTAGGGAGGCTGTGGCAGGAGGATGTCCTGAGCCCAGGAGTTCAAGGTTGCAGTGCGCTATGATCGCACTCCAACCTGGGTGACAGAGTGAGACCCTGTCTCAATAATTTTTTTTAAAAAATTATAATAACAGTTATCACTTATCAAGCACCTATTATGAGCCTAGCACTACTATATTAAGGATTCTATGTAATTATCTCAAATCCTCCCAACAACATTAAAAGTCCAGATCTATCTGCCTCCAAAGCCAGCTGTACCTTCTCTTCCATCATACTGCTTTCATAATCCCAAGGAGAAATCCAGGTTGGTGGGGCAAGTGGGGGACAGGATGGTTGTTTTGTTTCTTTTTGTTACTACTGAAGTTATCCACATAGAGTTACTTCATTTTTGTGAAGGACTTAAAAATATTAGGTTATGTACATGAAAAACACTTTTACTTATAAAAAAGAAAAGGCTTCCACTGCATCTTTATGAAAACATAAACTAAAAAAGTTGTGAAGACTCACTTATATAAGCAATCAAAGACTAATTCCTTCCTAAGGAATGTGATTTCAACACAAGGCTTTCATTTGACAACTTGGTTTGTTACAGAACAAAGACGTACATGTACACACACACACACACACACACACACACACACACACACACACACACATAAGACTGAAAGGAAATGTGCCAAAAATGTTAAAAGCCACTACTCCCCGACAACTCATAACCACAGTGACCTCCTTCAAGAAATGAGCACATAACCCAGGATCCAGACAATCAAGTTTGCCATCCCCCTGACTCCTGGCTACCGTGATACATTAAGGGATGAAAAACTGACATAAGGAGGAACACAGAGTCACCTCTGAAATTTACCATATAACTGGTGAGAAGGAGTCTATCTTCCTTTCAGACAGTGAGCCGTGATGACGTTGCCCTGAGGCTATAAGCACACAACAGAAGCCTGCTTGAGAATGAAGCCATGGCAGGTGGAAACAGAGCCAGCCCACACAGCAGAAGAAGACCCTTGACATCATCATCAGGGTTCTAGATCCACGCATGCCTGAGATCAGTCCATCTTGGACTCCCATTTACTTAATCTAACATATCCACTGTCTTTTAATTTTTTGCTTGACTGCTTGAGTTGGATTTGTGCTGCTTAAATTTTTAATAGTACTGACTAGTCTCAGAGAGAAGCCCTCAGTTAAAAAATAACACTACACTGCAAAATTTGAAACATTTTAAAATTAGGTCAATTAATCATTTTGTCTATCTAAAATATACTTTTAAATTACTGTAACAAAACTTTTAAAATTAAACTAGTAATACATTTAGTGTTCCTAAATAAGGTTATTCTAAATCTTTATGTATTAGCAATAATTGCACTTATTTACCACATACAACATGATATTTTGAAGTATATACACATTGTAGAATAGTTAAATCTAGCTAACAAATGCATTACCTCACATAGTTATCATTTTTGTGGTGAGAACACTTAATATCCACTATATCTGCATTTTTCAAGAATACAATATACATGGCCGGATGCGGTGGCTCACGCCTGTAATCCCAGCACTTTGGGAGGCCGAGGCGGATGGATCACGAGGTCAGAAGATCGAGACCATCCTGGCTAACACAGTGAAACCCTGTCTCTACTAAAAAATACAAAAAATTAGCCGGGCGTGGTGGCAGGCACCTGTAGTCCCAGCTACTCAGGAGGCTGAGGCAGGAGAACGGCGTGAACCTGGGAGGTGGAGCTTGTAGTGAGCTGAGATCGCACCACTGCACTCCAGCCTGGGTGACAGAGCAAGACTCCATCTCAAAAAAAAAAAACAAACAAAAAAGAATATAATATACATTAACTGTAGTCATCATGCTGTACAATAACTGCATTTTTAAATAGTATTAGAGTGTTACATTGCCTGATATTTTGTTTGTATTAACATTTTTCTAATGGTAGAACATACCACAACTTTACTCCCTTGGCTTTTCAAACTTCTGCCATACCACTCACCAACTATAGGTTATGTTAGGTGGGCAGAGATTTCTTCATTCACACTCCCGGGATACATAAATAGAAGAGGAAGTTCTAAAACCGTGATGATTCTGCCTTCTCCAAATTCACAGAGAACATCACAACCATCACAGAGAAATTCCCTCTTTTTTCCTCTTCTGTTCCTCAGTAATTCTTCCTTCCCTCTGCTCATCCCTCATGCTCACCTTCCCTCTGGACCAACTGGGAGTTTGCCTCTCCTCCTTTCAAAGATTAACCCCATCACCTATGTTCTCATCTCCTCCCAACCTTCACTCCATCTTATTCTTTCTCTGCCAGCTATAGTATTTCCTACCACACTAGCACGTTCCCCTCTGCCATCACATATACAAAAATTTTCTCTAACTTAAAAAAAATATTTCACTTAACCAAGCTGCTCACTTTATTGCTCTCCTACTTTTCACTGACAGATTTTTCAAATGAATGGTTTAAATCTGGTATTTAAGCATCACTCTTCCCTTATTCCCCAAAAGTCTAGCTTCCTCCCTCCCCTCAAATCCCTGAAACTGAATTCATGATATTTCTTTTATTGTCAAATCCAATGGCCCCTTTAATTTCATTTCCTCATGCACACCGCTGTATGTGGCGTTATTTCACTATCCTCTTGTAAAATCTTGCCCATTGGTTCAATGACATTATAATCCATTTTAGCTCTCTTGCTGTTGGACTTCTCTAAAGAGGTCTCCTTTTCCTCTCATTCCCTGTTAGTAAAGTGTGTGTTTCTCATATTCATTCTTCAGTCCATTCTTCAATGTTCATTTTCCATATGCTTTCTCTGAAAAATTATATCTATCATTAAAACTGTGTTGTTCTCCAATATAAGGCAAAATTACAACACACATACAAAAGGGTGAATAACCATTTTCCTTCCCAAATTAGGACTACTCCCAAATTTTCTGAAAATGGCATCACTTGTCTTCCCTAAAACCATGGCATGCACACACACACTCCTCAGCATGCTTCCTATTTTCTATTGCCTAGAACACCCTTCTTCCCTTCTCACCCAAAAAAATTCCTATCAGTCTCAAATGCCCCTTCCTCTGTGAAGCCTTTCCTGCCACACACCCATCACCCAATGAACATGACTTCCTAGTTCTCCCTTCTATAGAACCATGGCACTAAGTAGATACCTTTACTATAGCACTTTTTAAATGATTTTAGGTTGCTATGTTTTTCATCTCACCCAATAACTATGTCCAGGTGCAAGGAGCACGTTTTATTCTTTTTGTTTCTTTAGTTGCTATAACATGATAGGCATGTACTTGGTAAGTATTTATTAGGGGAAAAAAAACACTTGAAAGGTCCCAGTTCAGAATGTCAGAAGCATAATCAAGACACTTCATATACCTGCAGTGCTTTGCAAGCATCAAAGTTGAAAGTGCTAGCTTTGTGAATACCAAAAGCATTAACTGACTACACCAGTCATTTAGCATTTTGGTTTCCTGCCACAAATATACTTCCATCTTTACATGCATATGTGTCTTATCTTCTTAAATGGGTAAGTACTTTCAGACTACAACTTTTAATGTTAAGTACATTGTATTATCTAGTGTGATTCCTTGTACCTTAGTAGGGTCTCAATAAATATCACATAGCTATTTGATGTGTCTCATTGTTAGGAGTTCTAAAACTATCTGAGAGATCTGTCATTAACTTATTGTTTTAAATTAAATCAGTTTTTCAAAATTACTCATTAAGGAAAATATGCATACATGGAACTCAAATACCTTCAAATCCATGATCCAAATAATATATTAACTTTTAAAAAGAAAAGGCAAGAGTGGGTTCTTTCAGTGGTAGTAATGCATCTTTCCTTGCAAATATGGATCTCAAATATGGATTACATATGGCCATTAAAAAGCAATTTCCCTATAATTCATAACGTAAAAACTGATTCAGGCAATATCATCAATGGAGGTAAAAGGCTATTGGGAACAATCATCCCACAGATTTATAAATGAGAAAAATAGGGAGCAGTTCCAAGATGGCCGAATAGGAAAAGCTACAGTCTACAGATCCCAGTGTGAGCGACACAGAAGACGGGTGATTTCTGCATTTCCAAATGAGGTACCAGGTTCATCTCAATGGGGATTGTCGGACAGTGGGTGCAGGACAGGGGGTGCAGTGCACCAAGCGTGAGCCAAAGCAGGGTGAGGCATCACCTCACCCGGGAAGCACAAGGCGTCAGGGAATTCCCTTTCCTAGCCAAGTGAAGGGGTGACAAACAGCACCTGGAAAATCGGGTCACTCCCACCCTAATACTGCGCTTTTCCAACGGACTTAGCAAACGGCACACCAGGAGATTATATCCCATGCCTGGCTCGGAGGGTCCTATGCCCACAGAGCCTCGCTCGTTGCTAGCACAGCAGTCTGAGATCAAACTGCAACGCGGCAGCAAGGCTGAGGGAGGGGCGCCCGCCATTGCTGAGGCTTGAGTAGGTAAACAAAGCAGCCGGGAAGCTCGAACTGGGTGGAGCCCACCACAACTAAAGGAGACCTGCCTGCCTCTGTAGACTCCACCTCTGGGGGCAAGGCATAGCCAAACAAAAGGCAGCAGAGACCTCTGCAGACTTAAATGTCCCTGTCTGACAGCTTGGAAGACAGTAGTGGTTCTCCCAGCACAGAGCTTGAGATCTGAGAACAGACAGACTGCCTCCTCAAGTGGGTCCCTGACCCCCGAGTAGCCTAACTGGGAGGCAACCCCCAGTAGGGGCAGACTGACACCTCACACGGCCGGGCACCCCTCTGAGACGAAACTTCCAGAGGAACAATCAGGCAGCAACATTTGCTGTTCACCAATATTTGCTGTTCTGCAGCCTCTGCTAATGATACCCAGGCAAACAGTGTCTGAAGTGGACCTCCAGCAAACTCCAACAGACCTGCAGCTGAGGGTCCTGACTGTTAGAAGGAAAACTAACAAATAGAAAGACATCCACACCAAAAACCCATCTGTACGTCACCATCATCAAAGACCAAAGGCAGATAAAACCACAAAGATAGGAAAAAAAGAGCAGAAAAACTGAAAATTCTAAAAATCAGAGCACCTCTCCTCCTCCAAAGGAACGCAGCTCCTCACCAGGAACGGAACAAAGCTGGAAGGAGGATGACTTTGACGAGTTGAGAGCAGAAGGCTTCAGACAATCAAACTTCTCAGAGCTAAAGGAGGAAGTTGGAACCCAACACAAAGAAGTTAAAAACCTTGAAAAAAGATTAGATGAATGGCTAACTAGAATAACCAATGCAGAGAAGTCCTTAAAGGACCTGATGGAGCTGAAAACCATGGCACGAGAACTACGTGACGAATGCACAAGCTTCAGTAGCCGATTCGATCAACTGGAAGAAAGGGTATCAGTGATGGAAGATCAAATGAATGAAATGAAGCGAGAAGAGAAGTTTAGAGAAAAAAGAATAAAAAGAAATGAACAAAGCTTCCAAGAAATATGGGACTATGTGAAAAGACCAAATCTACGTCTGATTGGTGCACCTGAAAGTGACAGGGAGAATGGAACCAAGTTGGAAAACACTCTACAGGATATTATCCAGGAGAACTTCCCCAATCCAGCAAGGCAGGCCAACATTCAGATTCAGGAAATACAGAAAACGCCACAAAGATACTCCTCAAGAAGAGCAACTCCAAGACACATAATTGTCAGATTCGCCAAAGTTGAAATGAAGGGAAAAATGTTAAGGGCAGCCAGAGAGAAAGGTCGGGTTACCCACAAAAGGGAAGCCCATCAGACTAACAGCTGATCTCTCGGCAGAAACTCTGTAAGCCAGAAGAGTGTGGGGGCCAATATTCAACATACTTAAAGAAAAGAATTTTCAATCCAGAATTTCACATCCAGCCAAACTAAGCTTCGTAAGTGAAGGAGAAATAAAATACTTTACAGACAAGTAAATGCTGAGAGATTTTGTCACCACCAGGTCTGCCCTAAAAGAGCTCCTGAAGGAGGCGCTAAACATGGAAAGGAACAACCAGTACCAGCCACTGCAAAAACATGCCAAATTGTAAAGACCATCAATGCTAGGAAGAAACTGTATCAACTAACGAGCAAAATAACCAGCTAACATCATAATGACAGGATCAAATTCACACACAACAATATTAACCTTAAATGTAAATGGGCTAAATGCTCCAATTAAAAGACACAGACTGGCAAATTGGATAAACAGTCAAGACCCATCAGTGTGCTGTATTCAGGAAACCCATCTCATGTGCGGAGACACACATAGGCTCAAAATAAAGGGATGGAGGAAGATCTACCAAGCAAATGGAAAACAAAAAAAAGGCAAGGGCTGCAATCCTAGTCTCTGATAAAACAGACTTTAAACCAATAAAGATCAAAAGAGACAAACAAGGCCATTACATAATGGTAAAGGGATCAATTCAACAAGAAGAGCTAACTATCCTAAATATATATGCACCCAATACAGGAGCACCCACATTCATAAAGCAAGACCTTAGAGACCTACAAAGAGACTTAGACTCCCACACAATAATAATGGGAGAGTTTAACACCCCACTGTCAACATTAGACAGATCAACAAGACAGAAAGTTAACAAGGATATCCAGGAATTAAACTCAGCGCTGCACCAAGCAGACCTAATAGACATCTAGAGAACTCTCCACCCCAAATCAACAGATTATACATTCTTCTCAGCACCACACTACACTTATTCCAAAATTGACCACATACTTGGAAGTAAAGCACTCCTCAGCAAATGTAAAAGAACAGAAATTATAACAAACTGTTTCTCAGACCACAGTGCAACCAAACTAGAACTCAGGATTAAGAAACTCACTCAAAATCACACAACTACATGGAAACTGAACAACCTGCTCCTGAATGACTACTGGGTACATAACGAAATGAAGGCAGAAATAAAGATGTTCTTTGAAACCAAGAGAACAAAGACACAACATACCAGAATCTCTGGGACACATTCAAAGCAGCGTGTAGAGGGAAATTTATAGCACTAAATGCCCACAAGAGAAAGCAGGAAAGATCCAAAACTGACATCACAATTAAAAGAACTAGAGAAGCAAGAGCAAACACATTCAAAAGCTAGCAGAAGGCAACAAAATAACTAAGATGAGAGCAGAACTGAAGGAGATAGAGACATAAAAAACCCTTCAAAAAATCAGTGAATCCAGGAGATGGTTTTTTGAAAAGATCAACAAAATTGTTAGACCACTAGCAAGACTAATAAAGAAGAAAAGAGAGAAGAATCAAATAGACACAATAAAACATGATAAAGGAGATATCACCACCGATCTCACAGAAATACAAACTACTATCAGAGAATACTATAAACACCTCTATGCAAATAAACTAGAAAATCTAGAAGAAACGGATAAATTCCTCGACACATACACTCCCCCAAGACTAAACCAGGAAGAAGTTGAATCTCTGAAAGGACCAATAACAGGCTCTGAAATTGAGGCAATAATTAATAGCTTACCAACCAAAAAAAGTCCAGGACCAGACGGATTCACAGCCGAATTCTACCAGAGGTACAAGGAAGAGCTGGCACCATTTCTTCTGAAACTATCCCAATCAATAGAAAAAGAGGGAATCCTCCCTAACTCATTTTATGAGGCCAGCATCATCCTGATACCAAAGCCTGGCAGAGACACAACAAAAAAAAGAGAATTTTAGACCAACATCCCTGATGAACATCGATGCAAAAATCCTCAATAAAATACTGGCAAACCAAATCCAGCAGCACATTAAAAAGCTTATCCACCATGATCAAGTGGGCTTCATCCCTGGGATGCAAGGCTGGTTCAACATATGCAAATCAATAAAGTAATCCAGCATATAAACAGAACAACGACAAAAACCATGATTATCTCAATAGATGCAGAAAAGGCCTTTGATAAAATTCAACAGCCCTTCATGCTAAAAACTCTCAATAAATTAGGTATTGATGGGACGTATCTCAAAATAATAAGAGCTATTTATGAGAAACCCACAGCCAATATCATACTGAATGGGCAAAAACTGGAAGCATTCCCTTTGAAAACTGGCACAAGACAGGGATGCCCTCTCTCACCACTCCTATTCAACATAGTGTTGGAAGTTCTAGCCGGGGCAATCAGGCAGGAGAAAGAAATAAAGGGTATTCAGTTAGGAAAAGAGGAAGTCAAATTGTCCCTATTTGCAGATGACATGATTGTATATCTAGAAAACCCCATGGTCTCAGCCCAAAACCTCCTTAAGCTGATAAGTAACTTCAGCAAAGTCTCAGGATACAAAATCCATGTGCCAAAATCACAAGCATTCTTATATACCAATAATAGACAAACAGCCAAATTATGAGTGAACTCCCATTCACGATTGCTTCAAAGAGAATAAAATACCTAGGAATCCAACTTACAAGGGATGTGAAGGACCTCCTTCAAGGAGAACTACAAACCACTGCTCAACGAAATAAGAGAGAATACAAACAAATGGAAGAACATTCCATGCTCATGGATAGGAAGAATCAATATTGTGAAAATGGCCATACTGCCCAAGGTAATTTATAGATTCAATGCCATCCCCATCAAGCTACCAATGACTTTCTTTACAGAATTGGAAAAAACTACTTTAAAGTACATATGGAACCAAAAAAGAGCCTGCATTGCCAAGTCAATCCTAAGCCAAAAGAAAAAAGCTGGAGGCATCATACTACCTGTCTTCAAATTATACTACAAGGCTACAGTAACCAAAACAGCATGGTACTGGTACCAAAACAGAGATACAGACCAATGGAACAGAACAGAGCCCTCAGAAATAATACCACACGTCTACAACCATCTGATCTTTGACAAACCTGACAAAAACAAGCAATGGGGAAAGGATTCCCTATTTAATAAATGGTGCTGGGAAAACTGGCTAACCATATGTAGAAAGCTGAAACTGGATCCCTTCCTTACATCTTATACAAAAATTAATTCAAGATGGATTAAAGACTTAAATGTTAGACCTAAAACCATAAAAACCCTAGAAGAAAACCTGGGCAATACCATTCAGGACATAGGCACGGGCAAGGACTTCATGTCTAAAACACCAAAAGCAATGGCAACAAAAGCCAAAATTAACAAATGGGATCTAATTAAACTAAAGAGCTTCTGCACAGCAAAAGAAACTACCATCAGAGTGAACAGCCAACCTACAGAATGGCAGAAAATTTTTGCAATCTACTCATCTGACAAAGGGTTAATATCCAGAATCTACAAAGAACTCAAACAAATTTACAAGAAAAAAACAAACAACCCCATCAACAAGTGGGTGAAGGATATGAACAGACACTTCTCAAAAGAAGACATTTATGCAGCCAAGAGACACATGAAAAAATGCTCATCATCACTGGCCATCAGAGAAATGCAAATCAAAATCACAATGTGATACCATCTCACACCAGTTAGAATGGCGATCATTAAAAAGTCAGGAAACAACAGGTGCTGGAGAGGAAGTGGAGAAATAACACTTTTACACTGTTGGTGGCACTGTAAACTGGTTCAACCATTGTGGAAGACAGTGTGGCGATTCCTCAGGGATCTAGAACTAGAAATACCATTTGACCCAGCCATCCCATTAGTGGGTACATACCCAAAGGATTATAAATCATGCTGCTATAAAGACACATGCACACGTATGTTTATTGCGACACTATTCACAATAGCAAAGACCTGGAACCAACCCAAATGTCCAACAATGATAGATTGGATTAAGAAAATGTGGCATATATATACCATGGAATACTATGCAGCCATAAAAATGATGAGTTCATGTCCTTTGTAGGGACATGGATGAAGCTGGAAACCATCATTCTCAGCAAACTATCGCAAGCACAAAAAACCAAACATCGCATGTTCTCACTCATAGGTGGCATAGGTGGGAACTGAACAGTGAGAACACTTGGACATAGGAAGGGGGACATCACACACCGGGGCCTGTTGTGGGGTGGGGGGAGGGGGGAGGGATAGCATTAGGAGATATATCTAATGTAAATGACGAGTTAATGGGTGCAGCACACCAACATGGCACATGTATACATATGTAACAAACCTGCACGTTGTGCACATGTACCCTAGAACTTAAAGTATAAAAAAAAAGAGAAAAATATATCTTTACAGTGAAGAGATCCAGCAGTCACCTTCTTGATTAAGTATGTATCATGTATGCAGTATTCTCACCAAAAAAGGTTCAACCTGAATCTAACAATGAGGAAAAGCTGGACAAATTCAGAATGTGGGATATTCACAAAACAAGTGATATAAAACCCTCAAAAAAATTAGAATCAAAATTGGGTTCAGTGTATATTGCTTGGGTGATGGGTGTACCAAAATCTCGTAAGTCACCACTAAAGAGCTTACTTGTGTAACCAAATACCACCTGTTCCCCAAACGCCTATGGAAATAAAAAAAAAAGAAAAAAAGTACATAATAAAAAAAAAATTAGAATCAGTGTCATAGAAAGCAATATAACGTTAGATTTTTATTTTCTAGAATAAAACAGTCTCAGGTGACATAACCAAATATAGTGTAAGGACCCTGGATTTTAAAAAATTTATAAACTTTTATGGACTACCATATTAGGCATAATTATGAAATATGATTTTTCTTAGTTGTGTTAATGATACTGTGATTATGAATAGCCTAACCTTGGAAATTCATGCTAGAAGAACTTAGAGATAAAGTGATATCTACAGCTTCCATTCAAATGATTCAATTAAAAATTTTAAAGAGTATATGGACTGGGCACAGTGACTCACACCTGTATTCCCAGCATTTTTGGAGGCCAAGGCAGGAGGATCACTTGAGCCCAGGAGGTCAAGATTAGCCTGGACAATCTAGTGAGACCCCAACTCTTAAAAATTAAAACATTAGCCAGGTGGTGGTGCACACCTGTAGTCCCAGCTACCTGGGAGGCTCATTCAGGAGGATTGCTTGAGCCCAGGAGTTAGAGGCTGCACCAAGCTTTGATCCACTCCAGCCTAAGCAACAGAGTGAGATCAGGTCACAAAATAAAATTTTTAAATATATGTAAAGCAAATGTGACAAAATGTTAAGGATATTTTTGTGCTCATGAACACAATACATTCAGCTTTTCTATATATTTTTAAATCTTCAAAATAAAAAGTTAAAAGGGAAAGTAATATTCTCTTCTTTCCAATCACTGTAAACATTAGTAAATTGATAGAGGGGCTTATCTTGAAGAGATTTAGTTTAGATTAAGTATAGAACCCTATTATATCTAACATTTATTTTAAATACTTTTACAATATAAATAAACTAACCTGAGAATATAAGCTATAAAAACATAACTTTACAATCTAAGAATAAAACAAATGGAAAAAATTCTTCCTCATTCTACATATAAAATTTTGTAGTTCCTAGAAATAATTATTGGTCAGAAAACTCTTCTTACCAATGTTTAATAGAACACATATTCATGAATATTCTTGAGCTTACATCTTCCAATGATACACAGTCATCCCATGATCCTAACAATTCATGACCTTTGGAATCACAAATCTTATTTTTACTCTGCATCAAATGTTCTCCCCCAACCCCACTACCTGCCTCTGTTGCCAGGCTGCCATCTTATCAGCCTCCCAAATTCAACTTAACTGTCACTCCATTAGCTATCTATCACTGCATAACAGATTACCACAAAACTTAGCACTTTAAAATAACAATAAGCCTTTATGATCTCACAGTTTCTGTTGGGTCAGGAATTCAAGACCAGTGATGCATAAGGCATAGCAAAACTACGATCAGCACTCCTGTTCAAACAAAGGACAATTAGGAGGTGTGTGGGAGTCACTGACCCATAGCAATTCTGAAATCCAGCAGGTGTTTTGAGGCAACACTTTGGATCTTTCTAAGATCTTAAAGGACTTTAAAGTCACAACTTCAAAACACCTGGATATTTCTAAGGTCTTAAAGGACATTAAAGTCACATCTTCAGCTTGATCTGTAGATCAAGTTTTCCCATGAGGGTCCTAGATTGGATCTTTTCTAGAACCCATTTCTTAATTTTAGTATCAATGATCATACGAAGAGGCTGGGAATTTTCAAGCCCTACAGTTCCCTGCTCTTTTTTCTTTAATAGTATTTCATTTTGCTTATCTCTCTCCTTTTACATTTTATACATAAGTAGCAAGAAGAAACCAGGTAGCTTCTTCAACATTCTGATAAGAAATCTCCTTAGCTAGATCACTTCATTCATAGGTTACATTTTTCTATTTTCCATCTTATTGCACATGACAGAGTTGCTAAACTTTCTGCCACCACAGAACAAGGATCCCCTTTCCTCGTGTTTCCGTTAATATTTTTCTCACTTTCCTTTAAGCCCTCGAGCAAAGCCTTCTCAAAGGCTTCTACTTCTACTCAAACTTCTACTAACAGTCAACTCAAGGCTCTACATGCTTTCACTAATGTTTCAAAATCCTTCAAGCTTGTAGCCAGTTCCAAATTCAAAAGACAGTACTACATTTTTGTTACAACAAAACAAAACCACTCTGATACCAAAATCTATATTGCTTTTTTTTTTTTTTGGCAGGATCTCATTCTGTCACTTTTAGCACAATCTTAGCTCACTGCAACCCCCACCTCCCAGGCTCAAGAACTTAGAGATAGCGATCCTCCCACCTCAGTCTCCCAAGTAGCTGGGACCACAGGTGTGCACCACCACACCCAGCTAGTTGTTGTTGTTGTTGTTGTTGTAGAGATGAGGTTTCACCATCTTGCCCAGGCTGATCTCGAACTCCTGAGCTCAAGTGATCCACCCACCTCAGCCTCCCAAAGTGCTGGGATTACAGCTGTGTGCCACCGTGCCCTGCTCAAAATCTCTATTATCTATTGCTATAATTACCCCCAAAATTAGTATTTTCAATACAATAAGGTTTTATTATACAGTTTCTGTGGGAAAGGAGTGACTTAGCTAGGTGGTTCTGCACCAGGGTCTGTCATGAAATTGCAGACAATATGTTAGCCAGGGATGTAGTCATCAGAAGACCCTACTTGGTTTCTACTATGGCTTGCTCATATGATGGAAAAGTTCATGATAGTTTTTGGCTTATAATTCCATTTCTGGTGGGAATAGCAGCTTAATGGCCATTCCACCTTTAGATGAGTCAAGATGGTGTTTTTCTAGGTCACATAGCAGTTTGAATTGCTTTTTGAACTAGCATATCAACAGCTTATCTTCCACATTTTAAATCACAACATTTGAGTAATTCATAGTTTCACTAAAACATGTAAAAACTCAGTAGTGATGATCAAAAGCTGAGGGTATCTCAGGCAAAAGGGGATAGCTGGTCATGTTCCACTAGATCCCTAAACCAAAGACACAGGGTCACTAACATAACATGGTAGGCACCACCCTACTGTTTCTGACACTACCTTTAGTTCTACTACTGCAACTATTATTTATATTCTGAGAAAAATTTTTAAATAGATTACATAAAGTTAAAATTAAATGATATCAAGAAAAGGCATCTAAAATGTAGGATACATGACTAGTAAACTAGAAAAGATAAGAAAAGCATACAGGCAAAGTAAAACAACACAAAGGCAGAACAAAAATCCACCGTAGAAAGAAATAGTTTCTATCAAGAGAATAGAAATCTGAATCAGTGAAACAGAAGACAAACTACAAACATTCATGGAAAATTAAGGGAAAAAAGATAAAACATAAAACTTATAAAGGGAGAAAGGGCAGATAAGGAGGATAGGCTACAAATGTCTAATCAAAGATAATAAGGTGCTATGCTACCATGGTGGATTACAGGAGGCCATAAATTCCTTATCATTCTTCCTATGAGGAAATGGACTCCATTTCCCCTCCTCTTGAATCTGAGCTGGTGAATCTTGTGACTTGTTGCACGAGTAAAATGTATTGGAACAATGATCTGCCACTTCTGCAACTAGTCTTTAGAAGAACTGGTGGCTTCCATTCTTAGAAGTTAGTAACATGCTCTAAAGTAATCCAGGATGACCTGCTAGAGAGAGGCAACATGGAGGCGAACTGAGGCACTCTGAGCCAACATTCAAGCACCAAGGACCCAAATACAGGAATAAACCATTCTACCATCTTTTAGTTCAGTGCAGCTACCCTTCTAAGTGCACCCATAGGAATGACTCTAGGTGACATCTCCAAGAGAACCATGGACTCAAACCACAGAATCATGAAAAAAAGATAAATTGTTGTTTTAAGGCAATAAACATTGGGGTAGTCCATTACACAGCATTGGTAACTGATGTAGCTATAATGATCTACAACAACACGACACTGCCAAAATATATGAATAATATCTGTAGTCTGTAGTATAAGATACTTGTATTTCAAGACCCTGCTAGAAAATAATATTTTAAACTGTTTGAGGCCAGGCGTGGTGGCTCACGCCTGTAATCCCAGCACTTTGGGAAACTGAGGTGGGCGAATCACTTGAGGTCAGGAGTTTGTGACCAGCCTGGCCAACATGGTGAAACCCCATCTCTACTAAACATGCAAAAATTAGCCAGGCGTGGTGGCACATGCCTGTAGTCCCAGCTACTGAGGAGGCTGAGACAGGAGAATTGCTTAACCTAGAAGGCAGAGGTTGCAGTGAGCCAAGATCGTGCCACTGCACTCCAGATGGGTGATAGAGTGAGACTCTGTCTCAAATAAATAAATAAGCAAACAAACAAACAGTCTGAAAACCCAGCTTGTTTCAAAAACCTGGCTGAAAGTAATAGCTTTTTAATTTCTTAAACTATCTTCCATTATTTACTTACTTGAAAAAATATTCTGAATTCTATCCATGAATTAACTCAGGCATGGAAGATAAATGCTAAATTGTAATATTGCATCTTCAAATTTTATTGACATCTATTTTAAGATGTTTAAAGAAGCTGTCTTAACAATCCCACTTAGGTAAGTATATTCTCATTCTTTGCTTCATTCATTCATTCAACAGTTTTTGAGGACTTACTATGCACAAGGAAACTACGAAGTAGGATTGAGAGCAGATTAAAACTGGATCACTCCCCTAACTTTCTAGAAAGTCAACCCCTGCTTAGTCTGCACTTCCACAGCACTTTATACAAATCTCGATTTTGCAGAAATAATAACAGCAGCCAACATTTATGGAACACTTACTATGTACCTGGCAAAATTCTAAGTCATTATTACATAATTTAACTCAGTTAATCCTCACAATAACCTTCATGAGGTAGATAGGTACTATTACCCCCATTTTATCAATGAGGAAACTGACTCATCTTGAAGTCTTTTTTCCCCACTAGACTCTAGACTCCATGAGGGCAAGTGTTTCTTCATCTCAGTATCTCACACATCCCAGTTTCTGGCACATATTTCGCTAGAAGTAAATAAAGAAATTAGTTTGTCCAAAAACTAGATACAAACATGCTCATTTACAAGAACAATTTTTTACTCCTCAAAAGTATAAGGCAATAACACTTTTTTGGACTAAGAAAAAATGGCTTGGTGTTGAATAAATATAGTATCTCTAACTGGTAAGAAAACTTAACATAAAGTTTACCCAACAATTGATGAAAACAATTAAGACTTAAATTTTTTAAACAAGTCTAATTTGATAATTTTATTCAGCAATATGTTATGCAGAAGTCCATAAAAATCACAATGACAGGCGCCAAGATGGCCAAATAGAAATCGCTGTGGCCAGAGGCTCCCACCAAGAACAAAAAAGGCCAGTGAATCCTGCACCAGCAACTTTGAGATATCCAGGTTCTCTCCATGGGACTGACTAGGCAGTTGGCGCGACCTATGGAGAGTGAGGAAAAGAAGGGTGATGCAATGGCCCACATGGGAGCCACAATGGAGAAAGGGGAGCTCCCACCCTCAGCCAAGGGAGGCAGTGAGTGACTGTGCTACCCTGCCCAGGAAACCATGTTTTTTCCACAGATCTGTGCAACCCGTGGGTCAGGTCAGGATATCACCCTCATGAGCCGATGCCACCAGGGCCTTGCGTGCCAAGCGCAGAGCTGTGCAGATGTTTGGCGGTCACTCAACTGGAGAATGCCTAAGACTACCGAATTCCCAGGGAAAGGGGCCACCGTCATCACTGCGGCTGCCTGCTGTCCAAGACGACTAAGCTCCCCAGGGAAGGGAGAGCAGCCATCACTGCAGCTGCCTGCTGCCTAAGATGACTGAGCTCCGGAGGGGCAGCAGCCAGCACTGTAGCTCCAGTTGGCCGTTTTTTCCCTGCTGGTGCCAGGGAGACTGGACGGTTTGGACCCAGGAGAAATTCTCCACAGCAAGGACAGCGGCTGTGGCAGACTGTGGCCAGACTGCCTCTTCAGGCCAGATCCTGACCCATCCCTCCTCACTGGGCAGGGCCTCCCTGCAGGAATTTTAGCAACTCCAGCAGGGGTTTAGGAATGGAACTCTGCTCTCCCTGGGACTCAGCCCCTGCGGGGAGAGGCAGTAGCTGTCTCTGTGGATCAGCAGACTTAAGTCTTTCTCCCTGCTGGCTCTGAGGAATCCAGGTAGTCCAGAGGAGTGTGACAATCCCCAGCACAGTGCATCCCCTCCGCCAAGGGACAGCTGGACGATTTCATTAAGCAGGTCCTGGATCTTGTGCCTCCTGACTGAGAGAGACCCCCCCAACAGGGGTCGCCAGACACCTTATATAGGAGCATTCCTGCTGGCATCAGGTCGGTGCCCCTCTGGGACAGAAATCACAGAGGAAGGAGTAGGCAGCCATCTTTGCTGTTCTGCAGCCCCCTCTGGTGACATCTCCAGGTGTGGGAGGGATCCAAACGCACAGGGTCTGGAACGGGCCCCCAGCAAACTGCAGCAGCCCTACGGGAGAGGGGCCTGTTTTTTTGTTTTGTTTTGAGATGGGGTCTTGCTCTGTCACCCAGGCTGGAGTGCAGTGGCACGATCTTGGCTCACTGCAACCTCCGCCTCCCAGGTTCGAGCAATTCTCCTGCCTCAGCCTCCTGAGTAGCTGGGACTACAGGCGCATGCCACCACGCCCAGCTAATTTTTTGTATTTTTTAGTAGAGACAGGGTTTCACTGTGTTAGCCAGGATGGTCTCGATCTCCTGATCTCATGATCCACCTGCCTCGGCCTCCCAAAGTGCTGGGATTACAGGCGTAAGCCACCACACCCAGCCCTAACTGTTAAAAGAGAAACTAACAGAAAGCAACAACAGCAGCATCAACAAAAAAGTCCCCACAAAAATTCCATCTAAAGGTCAGCAGCCTCAAAGATCGAAGCTGGATAAACCCATGAAGATAAGAAAGAATCAACGAAAAAAACATTGAGAACCCCAAAAGCCAGACTGCCTCTTCTCCTCCAAATGATCACAACATCTCTCCAGCAAGGGCACTCAACTAGACGAACGCTTAGATGAACTGACAGAAGTAGGCTTCAGAAGGTGGGTAATAACAAACTTCACAGAGCTGAAGGAGCATGTTCAAACCCAATGCAAAGAAGCTATGAACCATGATAAAACATCACAGGAGCTGTTAACCAGAATAACCAGTTTAGAGAGAAACATAATGACCCAATAGAACTGAAAAACACAACACGAGAACTTCACAATGGAACCACAAGTATAAATAGCCAAAGAGACCAAGTGGAGGAAAGAATTTCAGAGCTTGAAGACTATCTTCCCAAGATTAGAGAAAAAGGAATGAAAAGGAACAAAGAAAACCTCTGAGAACTATGGGATTATGTAAGAAGACCAAATCTATGACTGATTAGGGTACCTGAAAGAGATGGGGAAAATGGAACCAAGTTGGAATATATACTTCAGGATATCATCCAGGAGAACTTCCCCAACCTAGTAAGACAGACCAACATTCAAATCCAGGAAATCCAGAGAACCCCAGTAAGATACTCCATGAGAAGATCAACCCCAAGACACATAATCATCAGATTCTCCAAGGTCAAAACTCAAAGAAAAAAGGTTAAAAGCAGCCAGAGAGAAAGGCCAGGTCACCTACAAGGGAAGCCCATCAGACAAACAGCAGACTTCTCAGCAGAAACCCTACAAGCTAAAAGAGATTGGGGACCAATATACAACATTAAGAAAAAAATTTCCAACCCAGAATTTCATGTCCAGCCAAACTAAGCTTCATAGGCTTAGTTTGGAAAAATAAAATCCTTTTCACAAAAGCAAATGCTGAGAGAATTCACCACTATCAGGCCTGCTTTGCAAGAGCTCCTAAAGGGAGACTAAATATGAAAAGGAAAAACCATTACCAGCCACTGCAAAAATACACTGAAATACAAAGACCAATGACACTATGAAGCAGCTACATCAACACGTCTGCAAAACCACCAGCTAACATCATGATGACAGAATCAAATTCACAAATAACAATATTAACCTTAAATGTAAATGGGCCAAATGTCCCAATTAAAAGACACAGAATGGCTAGCTGCATAAACAATCAAGACCCATCAGTGTGCTGTATTCAAGAGACCCATCTCATGGGCAAAGACACACATAAGCTCAAAACAAAGGAGTGGAGGAAAATTTACCAAGCAAATGGAAAGCAGTAAAAAGCAGAGGTTGCAATCCTAGTTTCTGACAAAACAGACTTTAAACCAACAAAGATCAAAAAAGACAAAGAAGGGCATTACATAATGGTAAAAGGATTAAATCAACAAGAGCTAACCATCCTAAATATATATGCATCCAATATAGGAGCATCAAGATTCATAAAACAAGTTCTTAGAGACCTACAAAGAGACAAAGACTCCCATATAATAACAGTGGGAGACTTTAACACCCCACCATCAATATTAGATAGATCATCAAGACAGAAAATTAACAAGGATATTCAGGACCTGAACTCAGCTCTGGATCAACTGGACCTGATAGATATCTGTAGAACTCTCCACCCAAAGACAACAGAATATACATTCTTCTTGGTGCCACATGGCACATACTCTAAAATCAATCACGTAATTGGAAGTAAAACACTTCTAAGCAAATGCAGGAAAACTGAAATCCTAACAGTCTCTCAGACAACAGCACAATCAAATCAGAACTCAAGATTAAGAAACTCACTCAAAACCACACAACTACATGGAAATTGAATAACTTGCTCCTGAATGACTCCTGGGTAAATAATGAAATTAAGGCAGAAATCAAGAAGTTCCTTGAAATCAATGAAAACAAAGAGACAATGTACCAGAATCTCTGGGATGTAGCTAAAGCAGTGTTAAGAGGGAAATTTATAGCACTAAATGACCACATCAAAATACTAGAAAGATCTCAAGTTGACAACCTAACATCACAACTAAAAGAACTAGAGAACCAAGAGCAAACAAACCACAAAGCTAGCAGAAGACAAGAAGTAACCAAGATCAGAGCAGAGCTGAAGGAGAGAGAGACACTAAAAACCCTTCAAAAAAAAAAAAACTAATCCAGGAGCTGGTTTTTTTAAAAAATTAATAAAATAGCTAGAACGCCAGCTAGATTAATAAAGAAGAAAAGAGAGAAGAATCAAATAGATTCAATAAAAAATGATAAAGGGGACATCACCACTGACCCCACAGAAACACAAACTACCATCAGAGAATACTATAAACCCCTCTATGCAAATAAACTAGAAAATCTAGAAGAAATGGATAAATTCCTGGACACATACACCCTCCCAAGACTGAACTAGGAAGAAGCTGAATCCAGGAATAGACCAATACAGGTTCTGAAATTGAGGCAGTAATAAATGGCATACTAACCAAAAAAAGCCCAGGACCAGATGGATTTACAGCTGAATTCTACCAGAGGTACAAAGAGGAGCTAGTATCACTTCTTCTGAAACTATTCCCAACAATTGAAAAGGAGGGACTTCTCCCTAACTTATTTTATGAGGCCAGCAACAACCTGACACCAAAACCCAGGAGAGATGAAACAAAAAAAGAAAACTTCAGCCAATATCCCTGATGAACATTAATGCAAAAATCCTCAATAAAACGCTGGCAAAGTGAATCCAGCAGCACATCAAAAAGCTTACTCACCACGATCAAGTCAGCTTCATTCCCAGGATGCAATGCTGGTTCAACATATGCAAATTAATAAACATAATTCATTACATCAACAGAACTAAAAACAAAACCACATGATTATCTCAAAAGACTCAGAAAAGGCCTTTAATAAAATTCAACATCCCTTAATGTTAAAAACTCTCAATAAATTAGGTATTTATGGAACATAGCTCAAATACAAGCCATTTATGATAAAATCACAGCCAGTATCTTACTGAATGGGCAAAAGCTGGAAACATTTCCCTTGAAAACTGGCACAAGACAAGGATGCCCTCTCCCACTATTCCTATTTAACATAGTATTGGAAGTTCTGGCCAAGGCAATCATGCGAGAGAAATTAAGTGTATTCAAACAGGAAGAGAGGAAGTCAAACTGTCTTGTTTGCAGATGACATGACCCTATATCTGGAAAATCCCATCATCTCAGCCCAAAAGCTTCTTAAGCTAATAAGCAACTTCAGCAAAGTCTCAGGATATAAAATCAATGTGTAAAAATCACAAGCATTCCTATACACCAACAACAGACAAGCAGAGAGCCAAATCATGAATGAACTCCCATTCATAATTGCTACAAAGAGAACAAAATACATAGGAATAGAGCTAACAAGGGAAGTGAAGGACCTTTTCAAGGAGAACTCAAGGAAATCAGAGAGGACACAAACAAATGGAAAAACATCCCATGCTCATGGATAAGAAGAATCAATATCGTGAAAATGGTCATACTGCCTAAAATAATTTATAGATTCAATACTATTCCCATTGAACTACCATTGACTTTCCTCACATAATAAGAAAAAACTACTTTAAAATTCATATGGAACCAAAAAAGAGCCTGAATAGCCAAGACAAATCCTAAGCAAAAAGAACAAAGCTGGAGGCATCACACTACCTGACTTCAAACTATACTACATGGCTACAGAAACCATAACAGCATGGTACTGGTACCAAAACAGACACATAGACCAACGGAATAAAATAGAAATCTCAGATATAAGACCACAGGTCTATAACCATCTGATCTTTGACAAACCTGACAAAAACAAGCAATGGGGAAAGGATTCCCTATTTAACAAATGGTGCTAGGAGAACTGGCTAGCCATATGCAGAAAATTGAAACTGGGCCCCTTCCTTACATCATATACAAAAATTAACTCAATACAGATTTAAAGACTTAAACATAAAACCCAAAACTATAAAAACTCTAGAAGAAAATCTAGGCAATTCCATTCAGGACACAGGCATGGGCAAACTTTTCATGATGAAAACATCAAAACCAATTGCAACAAAAGCAAAAATTGACGACTGGGATCTAATTAAACTAAAGAGCTTCTGCACAGCAAAAGAAACTATCATCAGAGTGAACAGACAATGTACAGGGAGAAAATTTTTGCAATCTATCCATCTGACAAAGGGCTAATATTCAGAATCTACAAAGACCTTAAACAAATTTTCAAGACAAAAAAAACTTCATTCGAAAGTGGGCAAAGAACATAAACAGACACTTTTCAAAAGAAGGCATACATGCAGCCAACAAACATGAAAAAAAAAAGCTCAATATCACTGATCATTCAAGAAATTCAAATCAAAATCACAAGGAGATACCACCTCACACCAGTCAGAATGGCAATTATTAAAATGTCAAGAAACAACAGATGCTAGTGAGGCTGTGGAGAAAGAGGAACACTTTTACACCATTGGTGGGAAAGCAAATTAGTTCAACCATTGTGGAAGATAGTGTGGCTATTCCTCAAAGACCTAGAACCAGAAATACCATTTGACCCAGCAATCCCATTACTGGGTATATATCCAAAGGAATATAAATCAATCTATGATAAAGATACATGCAGGTATGTTCATTGCAGCACTATTCCTGATAGCAAAGACATGGAATCAACCCAAATGCCCATCAATGATAGACTGAATAAAGAAAATGTGGTACATATACACCATGGAATACTATATAGCCATAAAAAGGAACAAGATCACGTCCTTTGCAGGAGCATGGATGGAGCTGGAAGCCATTATCCTCAGCAAACTAACACAGGAACAGAAAACCAAATACCACATGTTCTCACTTCTAAGTGGGAGCTGAACAATGAGAACACATGGACACAGGGAGTGGAACAACACACACTGTGGCCTGTCAGGGATGAGGGGAGAAAGAGCATCAGGATAAATAGCTAATGCATGTTGGGCTTAATACCTAGATGATGGGTTGACAGGTGCAGCAAACCACCATGGCACACGTTTACCTATGTAACAAACCTGCATGTCCTGCACATGAATCCCAGAACTTAAAAAAATCACAATGACAACTATTCAAATCTGCATCATAAAGTATTTTAAAAGGAGTCAGTGACAGAGGAATAAGAAAATAAGGGATAATAACCATTAAAATATGTGGCTTTAAGACAATCCAAGTAACTGTAACACCTAATACTTCAAACTATGTAATTTGGATATTTTTGGCTGACCATTATTTGGGTTGGTAGAGGTGGAGTCATAAGCTGTAAAACCTGTGACTATCCGTTTCATTGCACACTGTAACTTAAAAACAACAATGAAAACCCTTATATAATTGACTTGTTACATTAAAAATTCACAATCCTCAGATTACCGGCTACAAACAGGAATTTGGATTCTACAAGGGGAATAAAACTAATTGAAATAATTTACCAAACGTACCCCATAATTCATTATCACTTCAGGATACCAAAACTATCTTTTTTTTAAGAAGGGAGCATAGCCAGGTGCGGTGGCTCACACCTGTAAACCCAGCACTTTGGGAGGCCAAGGCAGGCAGAACACCTGAAGTCAAGAGTTCGAGGTCAGCCTAGCCAACATGGCGAAACCCCATCTCTACTAAAAATACAAAAATTAGCCAGGTGTTGTAGCAGGTGCCTGTAATCCCAGCTACTTGGGAGGCTGAGGCAGGAGAATCACTTGAACCCGGGAGACAAAGGTTACACTGAGCCAAGATGGCACCACTGCACTCCATCCTGGGCGACAGAGTGAGACTTCATCTCAAAAAAGAAAAAAAAAAGAAAGGAGCATAAACCTAGTACTCCTAGGACCAGACAAAATGGCTACATTTCAGAATAATACCCGACAAGAGTAAATTTTAGAGAATGTTGGTATGTCAAATTTTCAATCTGACCTCTAGAAAGGCTACTGTCTCTCCTGGGTATCTGATTGAGAACTGAAGTACAAACATTAGTTACATTTGCCAAAACTTTTTGTAGCAGACTGCTGGTTGTCTAACACAACATCAATTACCAAACCCCTTTACTCTTGCCATCTCCCGCTACAGAAATTGAAAGCCAAATATTCACCTTCTAACAGCTAGGAGTGGCACATAACCCAGTTCTGGAAAAGTAAGTCTGATAGCGAGCTTCGGAGAAAGCTTTTGCATTCCTAATATAAGGGACAGTGTGGCTGACACCAGCCATCTCCCATTTGACTGCCTTGAACAGAGATGTAATGCCCATTACTACAGCCATCTTGAAACCTTGAAGCAACAAGTATATGAAAAGCAAACAAGCTAACGGTGATGAACCAGAGATAGCTTCAATCTCTGATGATTCTATCCTGATCTGCTAACTATAACCGCCCACCTATACCCTTAAGTGGAAAAAAAGAAAATGTCCTTTTTTGTTGTTACTGTTGGCTAGGTTTTCTGTTATTTTCAGCAGAATGCCAACCTTACTAAGCATGCAAAGACTATGATGTACAATTCCTTTAATTTAAAAAAGTTCTAGTAATTGTACAAACAAAAAGCAAACATTCTGATGCCAAGTAAGTGTGACAACAAATTAAACCCGGGACAAATTAAATTAAATGTTAGGAAGTCCTAAATAACTTCTCTTAACAATTTTTATATAAATTAATAAAATACATGCATTTCAGAAATTTTACAAAATACAAAATAATATAAGGAAGGAAAAAACTCAATACCCAGAAATAACCACTTATTATATTTTGGTATATTTCCATCCAATTCATTTTTATACATATATCAACATATAAAACTATGCTTTTATCTTTATAAACTGGAATCCTGTAGGATGTTTTATTAACTAATACAGGTAGAAAGTGATAACTCAGTAGTACATAAAAGCATGTAAGACTCAAAAATAAAAGTATCTCTTCCACCATTCCCATACACACAGGACCACATATACACAAGACCTCATTCTCCATTCCACTTCTCATAAACAGCCACTTTTAATATTTTTGGCATTGTGGATGTTTCTTGATTTATCACCTATTAACCACATCAAATGACTTCTTACTATAAAGATTGAGAAATTAAGATACCCTCTGCCCTTTCTTCCCAATTTTTGTTACTTTCATTTTCATTTTTAGCTTTTCTACTGGTTTGTATTCCACATTAAAAAAATACACTTAAGCCTCTATTTCTTGACCCAGGAATTTTAGATGGAAATGTCTTAGCTCCTAACTGTGTAAGATAAGGAAATTAGTATTCTTACACAGCAAGCATTTTTAATCATAAAGTTTAACCAAAGAATTAAAATATGACTATTTGGTCTTACCCAATCCTGAGTGAGAGGAAAAAAATGTATGTACGTACTTGTCGCTTTAGTACTATTTCATTTAAGAAAAAGTGTTGAAAAATATAGGAGCAGTATCATAATGAAGACCAAATCTAGAAAGCAACTATTAGAACTTGGAAATCCTATAATGAATTTTTGTAATTACTACAGACAAACATGAATTTTTAAATTAAGAAAGATGAAGCCTGAGGAAGAGAGTACAACATGAAGGTCAGTTGACAGGAAAGGAATACTGATCAACTCCTCTTTTACACTGGTCTTCTCCAAAGAGAAATATCATAATGAAAACATTGATATTGATAGTTAGCAAGTAGCTTATCACTTTGAGTTCCGGTCAGCATCAGTGATTTTTGATCAATGTAAAAGCATCTGAAGAATGTTTTAAAAACAACAACAACAACAACAACAACAAAACTTAAAAGGGCAAGTATCCCGACTGTCTATATAGAAGTAAACAATGGGTGAGTTAAATACTAAATATTAGTAAAGTTGATGTCAAACTAGTAATATTCTACAGATTATTAAATAGTTATTTACTATTTAATATGTCCCATGCAGTCTGATAAGAGCTAATCACACATTATGAGCTTGGATTCCTATACCCATATAAAGTAGGCACTTTTATCATCTCCATTTTACAGACCAGAAATTTAAGACAGATTAAGGATTGTGCCCACAGACACTAATAAATGGCAAAGCCAGGATTTGGAATTCAGTCCCATCCTCTTAACCATTACACTCAAATGACATATATAGGTACAGCTGACCCTTAATAACATGGGTTTAACTGAATGACTCCACTTGTACCTGGATTTGCTTCTTCTGCCTCAGCCACTCCTGAGATAGCAATACCAACCCTTTCTCTTCCTCCTCAGCCTACTTGACTTGAAGACATCAAGGATGAAGACCTTTATGATGATCCACTTCCCCTTGATGAAAAATAATACATTTTCTTAATAACATTTTTTCTCTTACTTCATTGTAAAAATACAGTACATTATATATAAAATGTGTGTTAATGGACTGTTTATGTTATCCGCGAGGCTTCCAGTCAACAGCAAGCTATTAGTAGTTAAGTTGTGAGGGAGTCAAAAGTGATTTGCGCATTTTTGACCGTGCAGGTGGTCTGTGCCCCTAACTCTAGTCTTGTTTCAAGCATCAGATGTACTTTGAAATTGTAGATGGACAAGAAGTAAGAATAGATTCACTAAGAGCAAGTTAAGTCAAACTAGTCACTTTTTTCGAGTTCCAGGTTCCCATGGCATGGATAAATCTCCAAGACATAGTAAGTGATTACGGTATCATTTATGTAATGTGAGGCAAAACAGAAAGATGCAATGTTTACACAGAATAAAGTGTAAAAGTCTCATTTTCTTAATTATCCCCCTTCCTATCCCTGCCTAATCTCTTCAATCCGAATCTCTTGACAAGGGGATAATACTACCTATAATTTGGCATTTTCTTCTAGTTCTTAAGTACTTCTTAAAAATTTTAGCTTTATATTGGCATGACATACTTGGCAGTGGTTATTTCTGAGAAAGAATATGGAAGAAAGGAATCACACGATACCCTATATATTTACTGCTTGGCTCTTTTAAAGGAGAATATATTACTTAGATAATACAAAATGTTTTCATCATAATGATGCTCAAAGGAAAAAGGTGAAGAGTTTGTAAGTATGACCTCAATGGTCTCCTTGAATGGGAAAAGTCTGACATATTAAACTACTTAACAACTAAAAAATTTTACAAGGCAAAAATATACCGTAACATTAAAAGGTATATTCAAACTAGAAAAATATTCACAACAAAAAAGATTAATCAAATAAAGGTATTCTCAATACACAAAAAGCTCTTACCAATAAATAAGAACATAAAATTTATACATGTTTAAGGATAGGCCTCATATTTAAAACTTAACTAAGAACAAGAATAATAATTCATTTAAGCAACGTTAAACCTCAGTAACAAAGAAATGTAAAATAAAACAGCAATACAATGGCAAAAACTAGAAAGAGTAACACCCAGCAATGGCTACGGTATAAGAAAGTAGAACCCTTCACATATTAGTGCTAGGAATGTAAACTGGTAACATCTGGACAATAAACTGACTTTATAAATGATTTATATAATCAAAACATAATAAAAGTTCCCTTAAAGAGTAAAACTGAGAAAAAGTGGCTACAGCCTTTAATCGCACCGAAGGCCCCTACAGTGACAGACTATGAGAAGAGGCTAACAGTCTCACTGTGCTTTTTCCCTGCACCGATCACATCTGCAGTAACAGATTCACTTCTGGGCACTACGCTGTAAGAGAAACATTGACAAACTGAGCTATTTCCACAGTAAGATACCAATACAGTCAGCCCTCCATATCTGTGGGTTTCCCATCTGTGGATTCAACCAACCACAGATCAAAAATATTCAGGAAAAAGAAATCATCTGTACTGAACACTTACAGACTTTTTTCTTGTCATTATTCCCTAAACAGGACAGTGTAACAACCACTTACATAGAATCTTTACATGGCATTTGCAGTGGATTAGGTAATGTAAGTAATTTAAAGATGATTTAAAGCATACAGGAGGGTGTGTGCAGGTTGTATGCAAATACTACACCATTTTATGTAAGGGATTTGAGCATCAGCAGATTTTGCTATCTCCAGGAAGTCCTGGAACCAACCCCCCGTGGATACTGGGGGACAACTGTACCGTGTATGAGAGGGCTGCAAACCGTGTCTTATAATAATTATAAACATAATAAAGAATTGAGAGCACTTTGCTTAGAAAGAGGGATTTTAGGGAAGACAGGATAGCAATCTCGAAAAATCCGAAGGCCTATAAACTGGAAAACAGAACTTGTTTTATATTGCTCAGGAGGGCAAACAAAGACCACCAGTGCTCAGAGCTGTTAAATAATGAAACAGATACAGTGCAACTTTAGTTGCCCACAATATCTAAGATAAGTGATCCATTAGAAACACAGTAGAAAAGATTCTTCTTATAGGCTTAGAAAGTTAGGTTTCATGAAATCAGAGGTACTTTACCGTTCTAAGAGTAAAGCAAAAATTACCCTTAAAATACGCATTAATCTTCCAAACCATAAAAACTACAATATTCCCAATCTTTTATTCTACTTACCTAATTTAGATACCTTATTTACTAGTCCATTCTGGGACAATCAGGGTACAACCCACTATCTTTGTCAGGAATAACCATTCAGTCAAATCTACCAATTCCTACCCTGTCAGTTCTGTTTTGCTACACAAAAATTTGACAGATATACAACATGGTTCTAGAATTCCAGTGCTGCCCTTACCGAAACTCTCTCCTGAACATTAGGCTGCTTTCATAACTGTGATCTAGTCTGTGTTTCCTACCTTGCCTCAGCTGTCCCAGTTCTAGTTCCTTGCCCTAATATCTGTGACATACTGTTATCTGAACTTCTAGAATCATTATTTTCTTCCCCATTTTTGTATCACATACTGATTAAGAGACTACCGTGCTCAAAATAATGGTGAACTGTATTTCAGAAGGAAAATTACAAACTGTACAAAATATAAAGTTGTATTAGACACAGTGCTGTCAAGGAGGTTACAATGGAAAGGAGAAATAACAGATCTATGTAATAACAAGGCAATAGAAAGTCATAAGGAGGTCAAGACAGGAAATTGTTGCAATATTATACAGACAAAAGAAATCATTCTAATTTTGTAAGACCATGATCTGGGTAAATAATTTGGCTTTGAAGGACACAGGAGATTTTTCACTTAAAAAGACAGAGGGGAAAAAACATGCCAAGCCGAAAAACTAGCATAACCAAAAACACAGAAAATTAGTGGTAGGTGCAGGGCTATCACACATCAAAAGGTAATGTGATTGATTATAAAATGCGAACACAAACTAAAGAAAGTTTCTCTATGTCAAAGGGTATAGAAACTATGGAAACAGTTACTCAAAGAGAGAAAACACAAGTTCAAGAGGTACAGCTTCTCTGCATTCTCCACTGGGAAGTAGAGCAGTGAATAATATTACTCACACAGTGTGAGGATTCCACAAGGTGGAAGATACTCCCCCTTTTCCATACTCAGAGGATTTTAAATCTTTCCACCCAAAACTTCTGAGCCCCTCCCCCCCAACAAGATACAAAATATTTTTTGAAGAAATTCAATCTATTCCTAAACGTCAAGAAAGAAACAAAATCTGAAGTATCTAAGATCAGCAAAAAAGAAATCTCAGGTACTAATCCTGGCTCTATACCTAACTTGAAATATGGCCTCAGTTTTGAAATCTGTCAGATGAATGGATATAAGACTAGAGAGGCCACCAACAGTGGCTCCTGCCTGTAATCCCAACATTTTGGGAGGCCGAGGCATGAGGACTCCTGAAGGCCAGGAGTTGGAGATCAGCCTGAGCAACATAAAAAGACTCATCCCTAAAACTAAAAAAAAAAAAAAAAAAAAAAAAAAAAAAAAAAAAAAAAAAAAGACTAGATAACTTTTAAAGTCACTTCTAGGTTGAAATTCTACATATGAGCTTAAGAAAAAGCTATCTTTCTAGATAAGTGATTCAAACTCGGTTTAAACTATTAGTTTCATACACCTCATAACTTGTAGTACTCATAATTTCTGATAAATTTTTATAAACTGTACTCCTACTTCTCACAAACTTCTTCTCCTCATAATTTAAGAATTAAATTGGAATACAGCAGTATGTGAATCATGAAGCTTAAATAAATTTGTGTATCTATACATTAAAACACATACCTAGCAAAATTTCACTTCCAGTAGTAGTATAGTAACTTGTATCAGACTAACCCTTCTATATATAAAATTATAAACTCTGTATAAAATATAAAGAATGACAATTTGAAGGCAGTAGAAAAGCTGCAAAAGCAGGCAGAAATTGAAGGAAACTGACTGTAAAGAAGGGAGCTACAAATGAGATTCGCACTGATGTGGCTTTTTACTCAAGGCGCTCTCCCATTCCTTGAAACTAGAGTGGAATGGCTAGAACTCAGAAAGTCTTACTAGTTTGAAGAGACAGAGTTCAGAGCTGCCAAAATAGCTGGAAAGTGAGAGGGAGATCTCAGTACAGCACGTTACTGTACTGAATACTGTAGGCAATTGAAACATGTTAAGTATTAGTGTATCTAAACATATCTAAACATAGAAAAGGTACAGTAAAAATATGGTATTATAATCTTATGGGACCACCATCATTAGCAATCTGTTATGGACCAAAACATCATTATATGGCTGTATTTGTCCATTTTCATACTGCTATAAAGAACTGCCTGAGGCCGGGCGCAGTGGCTCACACCTGTAAATCCAGCACTTTGGGAGGCTGAGATGGCTGGATCACCTGAGGTCAGGAGTTCGAGACCAGCCTGGCCAACATGGTGAAACCCCGTCGCTTAATGAAAATACAAAAATTAGCCAGGCACAGTGGCACACACCTATAGTCCCAGAGGCTGAGGCAGGAGAATTGTTTGTACCTGAAAGGCAAAGGTGGCAGTGAGCCAAGATCACACCACTGCACTTCAGCCTGGGTGATAGAGCAAGACTCCATATCAAAAAACAAACAAACAAAAAAAACCTGCCAGAGACTGGGTAATTAACAAAGGAAAGAAGTTTAATTGACTCATAGTTCAGCATGGCTAGGGAGGCTTCAGGAAACTTACAATCATGGCATAAGGTGAGGGGGAAGAAGGCACCTTCTTCACAGGGCGGCAGGAAGGCCGAGTTAAAGGGGAAGAACCCCTTATAAAACCATCAGATCTCATGAGAACTCGATAACACGAGAACAGCATGGGGGAAACTGCCCCCGTGATTCAATTACCTCCGCCTGGTCTCTCCCTTGACACGTAGGGATTACAATTTTTAAGATGAGATTTGGGTAGGGACACGAAGCCTAACCATATCAATGGCACATGACTATATAAGGAAACAGCAAGTCAAAATAACAACAGGTGACTTTTCATCAGAAACCATGGCAGCCAGAAGAAAATGAAATGACATATTTAAAATGATAAAAAAACCACAATTATCAAATTAGAATCCTATATACAATTTAAAAAATCCTTCAAAAATGAAGATGAGCCCAGCCACAGTGGCTCACACCTGCAATCCTAGCACTTTGGGAGGAAAAGGTGGGAGGATCGCTTGAGGCCAGGAGTTTGAGACCAGCCTGGACAACATATTGAGACTCCATCTCTATAAAAAAATAATTTAAAAATTAGCCGGCCACATATACGATTTTTAAAACTGTATATAGGATTCTAATTTGATAGTTTGGATTCTAATTTGAGCCACTGTGGCTGGGCTCATCTTCATTTTGAAGGATTTTTTAAATTGTACAGGATTCTAATTTGATAGCTGGTGGGAATGTAAATTAGTTCAGCCGCTGTGGAAAGCAGTTCAGCAATTTCTCAAAGAACTTAAAACAGAACTACCATTAGACCCAGCAATTCCATTATTGAAAATATGACCAAAGGAATATAAATCATACATGTATCATAAAGACACATGTACACATATGTTCATCACAGCACTACTGACAACAGAAAAGACACAGAATCAACCTAAATGCTCATCAACAGCAGACGAAAATGTGGTACATACACACCATGGAATATTATGCAGCCATAAAAAAAGAATGAGATCATGTCCTTTGCAGCAACATGGATGGAGCTGGAGGGTATTACCTAAGTAAACTAATGAAGGAGTAGAAAACCAAATATTACATGTTCTCACGTGTAAATGGGAGGTAAACACTGAGTACACATGGACAATGTATACTCGATGTTTCAAGAACACGCTGAGGGTGTACTTTGTGTACACATTGAGTACACATTTGAGTACACACTGTACTTTAGAGAGTATACACTGAGAGTGTATTTTGAGGGTGGAGGGTGGGAGAAAGGTGAGGATCTTAAAACTACCTATAGGGTACTATGCTTATTACCCGGATGACGAAATAATCTGTATACCAAACCCCCTCAACACGCAATTTACCCATATAACATCTAACCAATAATGTATTCTGGAAACTAAAAGTTTAAAAAAAAAAGCTAAGGAAAAGTTCTTCAGGTGAAAAAAAATATCAGACAGAAAATGAAATCTATAGGAAAAAAATTTTTTAACTGAAAATAGGTATATAAGTGTAAATGACCATACTTTTCCTGCTCTTTTTCAAAAGACGTATGAATAAGGCAAAAAATATATAACATTATAACAGAGTTTATAACATGGTGATATACTATACAGGAGAACAACAGCACAAGGCACTCTCAGAAGTGGGGGCAAATATAAATATAGCATTGGAAGAGTCTTATATTTTATATGGAGCAGTAAAATACTAACCCTACATAGACTGTAATAAATTAAGAATGAATATTGTAATCTCAAGAATAGAGTTCCTCAACCTCAGCACTACTAACATTTTGAACTGGAAATTTTTTTGCCATGGGATACTATTCCGTCCATTATAGAACATTCAGCAGCATATCTGGCCTCTACCCACTAGATGCCAGTAGCAATCCCACCCCCACATCATTTCAAACATGTCTCCAGACATTGCCAAATGTCCTCTGGGGACCAAAATCACCCTGGTTGTACTTTAGAGAGTATACACTGAGGATGTATTTTGAGGGTGGAGAGTGGGAGAAAGTGAGGATCTTAAAACTACCTATAGGGTACTATGTTTATTACCTGAATGACGAAATAATCTGTATACCAAACCCCTACAACATGTTATTTATCCATATAACAAACCTGTACATGTATTCTGTATTCCACTACCTTAGAACAATACCTAAAAAAGCAATGCAAGCTAAAATGATGACAGAACTGTTTATCAAAGGTTTTTCCTTGGCTCACCTAAGGAGCCTCTTTAGAAAACTCCCTCTAAATCACTTCGGTCCCCACCAAGAAATTTTAATACCAAAGATATATCTGTTTATATAATGTGATTGGAGAGCCACAAACAATTGTAATATAAAAGGATATTCTGTACCCTTTTCCAAGAACCTATGATTGCCCTATAGGAGAATTACCACTCCTGTTGAGAATGCATACTGTTAGTGGAATATACTGAAAAAAATTCAATTAACTCAAAAGAAGATAAGAAAGTATGAAGAGAGGTATTTTTTTAAAAAAATAACAGTATGCCTAAGTTCAACCACACCAACAATAACATTAACTATAAATTTTTAAATTGCTTTAAAATAAGACACATAAATAACAAGCCAATAGGAGAGATAAAATAGGATACTGAAAAGATACTAAATCCTAACAAAGGCAAAAAAATAGGGAAAAGATACAAAGAACACATGACACAAACAGAAAACTCAATCATATCAATAATTACATTAAATATGACTGGCCTAAAAACTCCCATTTAAAAGGTAAAGATTGTCAAATTAGATTTTTTAAAAAAGACACGACCCAAACATATGCTGTCAACGAGAGAAACAGTTTAAATACAAAACAAAGACTAAATATAATAGGACAGTTGAAAAGATACAAGATGCAAACACTAATCATAAAAAATCAGGAGTTACTATATTAATATCACACAAACTGAATTCCAAGATAAAGAGTGTCACTTGAGAAAAAGGTGAACATTTCATAAGGATAAAAGAAGCAATACATCAAGAAGATATAACAACAAAAAAGCCTCTAATAATAGAGCTTCAAAATATATAAAATTAAAAAGGTAGGACTAAAGAGAGAAACAGATAAATTCACAATCATAGCTGGAGACTATAACACTGAGTCACAGAACTAGAGGAAAAAAAAAAAACGAGTCAGTGAAGACATAGAAGACTATGACCCATTACCAATCATCTTGACTAGATATTTATAACACTATACCCCCAAAAAATAAAATACAGACAGACCAAATGATAAGACCACATAATGGATCATTTAAAAAATCATTAAAAAGTTGGCTGGGTGCAGTGGCTCAGGCCTGTAATCCCAGCACTTTGGAAGGCCAAGGCGGGTGGATCACCTGAGGTCAGGAATTCAAGACCAGCCTGACCAAAATGGAGAAACCCTGTCTCTACTAAAAGTAGAAAATTAGCCAGGCATGGTGGCACATGACTGTAAATCCCAGCTACTCAGGAGGCTGAGGCAGGAGAATCAACTTGAATCCAGGAGGCGGAGGTTGCAGTGAGCTGAGACTGCGCCACTGCACTCCAGCTTGGTGACAGAGCGAGACTCCATCTCAAAAAAAAAAAAAAAAAAGATTTCATAAAATGAATAAACTCCTAGCAAGATTATCAAAGGAAAAAAGAGAGCAAGTATATAATTTACCAATATCAGGATTTAATAAGGAGATATCGCTAAGATCTTACAGACATTCAAAAGATAAGGGAGCCTGTAATCCCAGCACTCGGGGAGGCCAAGGTGGGAGGATCACTTGTGCCCAGGACGTCAAGGTCAGCCTGGGCAATGGAGCAAATCTTGGCTCTACTAAAAAAATAAAAATAAGGATAAGGGAATATTAAAAACTTTGCACCCAGTAACTTAGACGAACATCTTGGATGAAAAGGAAATCCTTAAAAAATACAATTTACCAAAAATGACACAAGAGGAAATAGAAAATATGGATAGCCTTGTATCTAAAGAAATCTCATTTATCATCAAAAATCTTCCCACAAAGAAAGCTCCAACCCACATGGCTTCACTGATACATTTTGTCAAACACTGAAGAAAAAATACAATCCACCTTATGAGAAACAAGTGCTTCCCAACCTATTTTATGAATCCAGCATAACCACTGTATCAAAACTGAAAAGAAATTTACAGATCAATACTCTTGTAAATGCAAAAAACCCTTAGCAAAATATCAGTAAGTCCAAATTGGTAATATATTTTTTTAAATACACCATGACCAAATGGAATTTATTCCAGCAATGAAAGTAATTCACCATATTAAGAGAATAAAAGGAAAAAATCAAATGACCATTTCAATAGAAGCAGTAAAATCTTTAGAAAAAACTGACCACCACTCATGATAAAAACTCTCCGAACTAGGAATAGTAGGGAATTTTTTCAACCTGATAAAGGGCAGCAACAGAAAAGGAACAGCTAATGTGATACTTAAGTGGTAAAATAAATGCTTTCCCAATAAGATGAGCAATAAAGCAAAATATCCACTCTTACCACTTTTATTCAACAATGTACTGGAGGTCCTATCCAGTGAAATATGATCAGAAAAAGAAATCAGAGGCATAAAGATTGGAAAGGAAAAAGCAGAACTGTGGATGTTCGCAGATAACTTGACCATCTATGTAGAAAATCTTTAAACTAACATTAATAAGTGAATTTCATGAGACTTCAACTTACAAAATCAATACATAAAACTTGATTGTTGATTGAGAAGGAGCAAGTGTGTGTGTAACAGCAACTTTACAATTCTATAAATAACTTCAAAATGTATATGAAAGCTTATTTGATGGTTTGCTCCATGTGGTTCTATTGGTTGAAACTTTCAAAAATAATACATTGAAACTCTAAGAAAAGCTAATTTCACAGTATTGTAAATACATTAGTTAAATCTCAGAGTTTCAATACCATTAGAAAATAAATTTAATTTTCTTATGTTTACTCTCCATGTATAACCTCAACAGTCAAAGTGAGCTTCTCTAATGTACCATGTGGTTTACACAGTCACTACCACAGCTCTTTACTCTCTATGGAAAAAGCTTGCTGCTGGGTAGTAAACAGGAAATCATACTGTCATTTTCTTTCTCCTAATCATTTTATAACTTATTTCTAAAGTCATTTTGTGAATAAAAAATGAACAAAAAAAAACACATGCATGCACAAAATAAAGGAGAAGAAAAGACCCCTGGACTTAGATAAACACTCAAAAATGTAAATTGTTTTCTGTAACAACTTGTTAAATTTGACTAGATAACAAGAATCACATCTTACAGCATAACCAAGTTCACAATCTTTATGTTGCTAAAGTATATTTTGCTCAGCAGAATTAAGCTATCTTGTGAGACAACTCATAGACACAAAATCTTTATCCTGGCATTACCAAATACCGACACTGTAGTTCATCTAAATAAACCATTTCATGGAATATAAGAAAAATATTATTCAAAGGACAAAGTCAGTACAAAGAAAACTAAGGGAAAAAGTTATTTGAAAGCCAAAACTGGTTACACATAGAGAATACAACATGAAAGTTCAGTTTGTTAGATACTAATACAAAAAGTAGAATAAAGTAACACGAGCATGGAACATTTTCATCAAAATGCTTTTAATGATAAAAATCACCTCTTAGATTTATGACAATCTCAAAACAGTAACATTATGAATTGACTAGTTATACATTATATTTTAACTTATTATCAAGGAACTAGCTTTCCACATTTATAAAAGACTACTTAGGTTTTTATGAAATTTTATTAAGCAAATGAAAGTTAATAAATTATAATAAGCCCTTAATTAATACTATTGCAATTTATTTAATTCTATAATTTAGACCTTTTAAACTGGCTAAATTTCCTACTTTATTAATACACTAAGTACCTTCATAGCAAATATTACCACTAGCTATAAGGGAAAAAATTAAGAGAAGTGCTGAAATCCAATTTAGAGATTTAGAGTCACCTAGAACATACCTACAGGCTCGTCTTTGAGTAAGATCATTTAGTAAGTATTTAATATATACAGAGATGCCTCCTATGCTGATGTGCAACCAAGTTGTAAGGAGCTGTCCTGGATCCATCAAGGAGGAAAACGCAGACAATACTTTACTTGATGTTTGCTCCGTGATGTTTCTTTTATTGCCATTTCTAACACCAACAATACTATGGTAATGTGTTATCTCAATTAATACTTATCATTTTCAACTGTCCAGAAAAGTGTAAAAAATAGGATATCACTATTAATATATCACTAATAACCAAGGTTAGGAAAGCATTTATCCTACGTAATAATGAATATTTATCTTTCAGCCCTTTTTT
This sequence comes from Homo sapiens, assembly GCF_000001405.40. Classification (NCBI taxonomy): domain Eukaryota; kingdom Metazoa; phylum Chordata; class Mammalia; order Primates; family Hominidae; genus Homo; species Homo sapiens. The sequence continues at coordinate 243,839,667 of NC_000001.11, forward strand.
TATTTTCCAAGAAGATATTTACTGAAAAGCAACTTACTCACATTAAAAGTACAAATCAGATTATATCTGGAGATAACAACAATTGATGCATATAGTCTTACGAAAAAAGACTAATATTCAAAGTAATAACTATATTATAACTTTATTATATCAATTTTTTGTTGTTGTTGTTGATGAGACGGAGAACATGACTCCATCTCAAAAAAAAAAAAAAAACAGAAAATACAGGAAAAGGTCCGGGTGCGGTGGCTCACGCCTGTAATCCCAGCACTTTGGGAGGCCAAGGCAGGCAGATCACGAAGTCAGGAGATCGACACCAACCTGGCTAACACGGTGAAATCTCGTCTCTACTGAAAATACAAAAAATTAGCCTGGCATGGTGGCATCCCAGCTACTCGGGAGGCTGAGGCAGGGGAATCACTTGAACACGGGAGGCGGAGGTTGCAGTGAGCCGAGATCATGCCACTGCATTCCAGCCTGGGTGACAGAACGAGACTCCGTCTCAAAAAATAAAATAAAATAAAATAAAAATAAAGAAAATCCAGGAAAAATAGCCACAGTCCAAACTAGAAACCAAATTAAAGTATGGCAGCTCTGGAGTACAAAGAGAGCGTAAGAAATCCATTTGTTCTCCAATGAGAACACACGGACACAAGGAGGGGAACATCACACACCAGGGCCTGCTGGGGGTGGGGGGCAAGGTAAGGGAGAGCATGAGGACCTAATGCATGGGGGGCTTAAAACCTAGGTGACAGGTTGACAGGTGCAGCAAACCACCATGGCACATGTATACCTATGTAACAAACCTGCACGTTCTGCACATGTATCCCAGAACTTAAAGTAAAATAAAATAAATCCATTTGCTCTCTAAGAATCTCATCATACCACTTTGTTTAGTCATATTATTTATATAATGTAATATTTTAACTGCTTTTCAGAATCAGCAAGTATAACTATTATAAACCTTGACATATAAAATAAATGTTACAGTTGAAAAACTGGAAAGGGAATGTGAGGAATTCAAGGGAAAGATGAGGAGAAAAGCTAATTTTTTTTTTTTACAACTTATAAAGTGGCAAGTTTAGAGACAATGTCTGAACACTCTAAAGTTAACTGTTAAACAGCTATAAGTTTAATCATAAAGGCAACCAAAAAATAAAAGGAAGAAGGTAGGATCAGTATTAAAAGTTAAATCCTTCTATTTTTCACAATGGGGAGATATTAGGTTACTGAAGGTTAAAGTTTAGTATATTATATAAAAAACTGGCATAATGATGAGACAATTAAAAATAGGAAAAAAAGTTCTAAAATGATTATCTCTGACAAAGGAGGTAGAAAAGATAGGGAGATTTTTATTTTTCATTTTATACCTTTGTGTGTTATTCAAATTTTTATGTTTATGCAACTATTCATCTCAAAATAAGCACATACACATTATTAGAAACACATACACATACACATCTCAAAATAAACACATACACATTATTAGAAAAATGATGGCAAATTCTTATTCATTTTTTTTTCTATAGTCCATGGACTAAATACTTTCTATTATGGTATTTCAAAGATATAATTAATTAAACAGACTAAAGAATCATCCTAAACCTTTGATAAATATGTGGAGATAGCAACAGCTTACATTGTGTTAGAACTGTCAAAATAAATCCACAACCATCATCTCATTTAACCCTCAAAACCATCTTGTGAAAGCAGATTTTAGAGATTAGTAAAGTAAAACTCAAAAAGGTTCAAGTGATTTGCCATCCCCCTCCAAAAAAAGTAGAATAATATAAATACGTTTAAAAAGTAAATCAAAAAAGCCTTTATAAAGCACTGAAATCTGAAAATGCTTTCGTAATTTATAACAGGAGAATGACATTGAAAGAAATTACACTTGACAATACAAATGGTCAGGCACATCGGAAAACAGCTGGGCAGTTTGTTAAACATATACTTCTTATAAAGTTAAACACACACTTACCATATGACCCAGCAATATCATTCCTAAGTTATTACCCAAGACAAATGAAAACACATTACACAAAGACATGCACTCTAATGTCCAGACTCTTTATTCGTACTAACCAAAAGCTAGAAGCAGCCCAAATGTCCAACAAGTGATTAACAGATAAACTGTGATATATCCAGACCATGAACTACTACTCAACCATAAAAAAAAAGCTAATGATATACAAGACATGGATGAATATTAACAGTATTATGCTATGTAAAAGAAATCAGCCATAAAAAAACTATGTACTGCATGATTCCATTTATATGAAATTCTAGAAAAGCAAAATTATAGTAACAGCAGATAAAGTGGTTGCCAGGGTTAAGGGATGAGGACTGGGCTGCAAGGGAGAACAAAGGAACCTCTCGGGTTAATGAAAATAACCACTATATCGTTTTCAGAGTGTTTGTTACACTACTGTGTATCTCTGGCAAAACTCATCAAATTATGACTTTACATTGCTTAATTTTATTATGTAAGTTACGACTTAATAAGGCTCATTTAAAAAATAATCCATAATCACATTTAACTATGACAACAGCTTTTCAGGATAGGTATTTACTACAGACCTTCAAAAAATATTAAAATCAATATTAGGAGGGAACTTGTAACCATAAAGTAGATATACAGGAACTAAAAGGTTCTGAGAATGGAACAGTCCTCATCCTACTCGACGTGGCCATGTGGGTAAACAGTAGTTGCCTAGCAACTAATCTAAACTCTAAATTTCTAATAAATATATTGACCACATAAGCAGGTGATCTCACAGATGATAAACCGCTTTACATCGAAGGGTTCTTCCTTTAATAATAAAAAATAATAATGTGCTTAAGTTATTTATCTAAAGTAGGAGTGAACAAGGTGTATTAAACCTAGATGATGAAAAATAAAAATACGAAATTAAACATAAACATACACACACAAAAAATCCTTGTCCTCATTTGGCCTTTTACGTCAGGACTTTACTTACCAAATTTATGGGATTAATCCATGAGTTTGCGGGTGAACCCTTTCCCCTTTTCTACTTTAAGCCATTCCCCTACAACCATTCAAACTGGCTTAATTCTCTTATTTATATATTTACATGTGATTAAATGCATATAGGATCGTACTTTTACATATATTAAATGATTCTAAAGATATCTCTCCAGATTACAGAACCTGTAGACACCACAGAAAAATACAACACTTTCTGTAACACGCTACACACAACATACCAGAAAGTCAAACCTAACTTAACTAGATTATAAATGCTCAAAATCAAGAATTACAAAAAAATCCCTTAATAACAAGCAAATTCCTAACACACGTTAAATATATCATTTCTCTCTTACTAGACATAGCATGACACAGTTTAACAGTATCAGAAAAAAGATCAACTTCTAAGACACCACTCACTGCTAGCACTCTTACCAACCGTATTATTTTTGGTTTGCGGAGCACTTACCCCTCTTCTGAACCCAACCTTCTTTCACAATGGTAACATCGCTCATGATGACTCCCCTCTGAGCCCCCAACTTGGAGAAATGGTACTTTGTGATATCAGCTTTAGGGTTTGGATTCTCTGCTGCTGCTGCCCTTCCCACTCTCTAGTGATGACTCAGCCTGGAAGGAAGTATTGAAGAAAGAATTTTTTTTCCATTCTTGCAACTCACAGAGCAATAACAAACAACTAATTCTTTGTAAATGTCTTCAACTGGCCTGACCTCACATAAAAGTCTGGCTCTTCAAACTGGGGAACTTATTTATTAAATAGTTCTATAATGAAAGCACTTCCCTAGTCTTGTGACCAATTTCAAATGATAGTGAAACTTTTAACCTAAGAGGTTGCAACAAAAAAGTCTTAAGAAAACCAGTCACGCCTACCCAAATAATAGAGAAAATTTGTTTGGTGATGTGTATTTGAGGTGAAGAGGGAAGAGAATGAAAGTTAATTGCCCTAAATCCCTGTAATTTCAGAAGCAATTGTAAATTTTTTGTTTTTTTTTTTTTTGAAACGGAATCTCACTCTGTCGCCAGGCTGGAGTACAGTGGCGCGATCTCTGCTCACTGCAACCTCCACCTCCCAGGTTCAAGCGATTCTTCTGCCTCAGCCTCCCAAGCAGCTGGGACTACAGGTGTGCGCCACCACGCCCTGCTAATTTTTGTATTTTTAGTAGAAACGGGGTTTCACCATATTGGCCAGGCTGGTCTCAAACTCCTGACCTCATGATCCACCCGCCTCAGCCTCCCAAAGTGCTGGGATTACAGAAGTGAGCCACCACAACCAGTCGTGAATACTTTAAGTGATATAAAATACAACGTACCAAGAACTCATCATTTACGTATTCTTACTCTGCCTGTTCCAAGAAATATTTTAAGGAGATTAAAAAATAATTGATTTCATATTATGTACTTATTATAAAGTAAAGTGAAACAAAGGGAATATGAAAGTAGAAAAAAATATTTAGTACTCAAGATGTGCCAAGAACTGTTACGGGTACTTACATCTATTATTCTTATGTGATCTTTATAACCTTATGAGGATACTATTAATTCCATTTCACAGACAAGGAAACTGAGGCTCACACAGATAAACCAACTTGCTCAATTTCAACACACCTAGTAAATGTGGAGCCAAGATCTGAACCCAGGCTGTCTGACTCCAGAGCCTGCATTCCAAAACTATACTGCCTTAAGATAAAAAGAAGTCAGAGTAAAGGCATACATACTTGGGAAAGATACGTCACAAATTTGGCATGGAGCTCTTGGGAAGACAATGCAAATAACAAAACACAACAGGCTTTCCTATTTACAGTATCCAAAAAAAATTTTTTTTTGAGATGGGGTTTCCCCCCATCATCCAGGCTAGAGTAGAGTGGCACAATCATAGCTCACTGCAGCCTCCAATGGGGGTCAAGCAATCCTCCCACCTCAGCCTCCTGAGGAGCTGGACTACAGGCAGGCATCACCATGCCTAGCTAATTTTTAAAAAAAATTTTTGTGGAGATGGGGTCCCGCTATATTGTCCACGCTGCACAAATTTTTTTAAAAAGCAAAAAAAGTTCCTCAGAAGAAATACAACTTTTCCTGGGACAAACATCGAATTTATCCCATGGGTCTTCTTCATAAGATGTATGCGGGAAAGTCCTCAAAAACACCCTCCCATATACAGCAATGAGTTTTACAGGGTCATTGCTTATTGTCACTCTCAAACTAAAAAGGAAAATGCCAACATAAAATTAGTAAATCCATTTGCACAGAAGGGGACCAAAAAATGTGGTCCAGGTACACCAGTGTTATGTGGTCAAGAATCATATCATAAATTTTAGATAACTAGAAAAATGGATAGATGGACTACACAAACATACTCTCTCAACTTGGTTTGTGATAAATGATACATAGCAGTTAAGTTCAGTGTTAGACTCCCAACCTAGCGCTAAATTAGACTACAGGTCATTCTTCAATGCAAATTAAGTGTGGAGCTTAACCATTTAACAGTCAGGAATCAAGACTAAACATTCTCTAGACAGCCTGACTAAATAGCCTGACAAAAGCTATGTAGCTGAATGCAAGACCACCAGCCTCATGTATTATGAGGTCACAGGCAGAACCTATAGGTAAGGCTGAGACTCCTCAAAATCACCATGAGTCTGTTGCTGTAGAGTGTCAAAAAGGGATATTAGTTTGTAATCCCAGCACTTTGGGAGGCCAGGGCAGGAGGATCACTTATGTCCAGGAGTTCAAGGCCAGCCTGGGCAACATGGCAAAACCCATCTCCACAAAAAATACAAAAATTAGCTGGGAGTGGTGGCAGGCACCTGTAGTCCCAGCTACTCAGGAGGCTGAGGTGGGAGGATCACCTGAGCCCAGGAAGTCTAGGCTATGCTGAGTGGTGACCGTGCCTGGGTGCTACAGTGAGAACCTGTCTCAAAAAAAAAAAAAAAGAAAAGAAAAGAAAAAGAATTTGGTTGCACAGTTGGCCATATTTTTGTAATATGCATGTAAAATCATTTTAAAATCTGTCTTGGGAGCCTCATCATAAATTTTTAAAAATCCATACATACATATAAAATGCAATTGATATATGGTCCATTAAATACCAAGAATCAGCTTGACAGAATTTACCCCCAGATTAAACTGAGCTACCCAATAGGTATGGAATCCTCTAACAAGGTTCATCACAATGGTGTATTAGGAAGAGCACCAGAAAGACCAAGAAACTTGAGTCCCTGCCCCACCCAGAGTGATGCTGTATAAGGTCACTTTAATTATCTGTGCCTCAGTTTCCGGAGCCATAAAAATGAAAGTATAGCATTAGATGAACTCTGAATAGCTTTATAGCTCTTCCAGAGCTAATATTTATGATTCTGCAAGTTAAAATCTACGGAGTATCTACTTCATATATAGATGGCATCATAAGTGAAAGACATGATTATACATACATAGTTCATGTCCTCAAAAGTTTGATAATTGGAAGATAAAACATTCAAACAGCATTTCAACTAAGACAAAATTTGGGCTAAGCTCCATTATTGGAAAAATACTGTCCTCCTTCCCCTCCCATCCCCTAGTCCCCCAAATACAGTCAGAAGCTTTCTAATATAGATTCCAATATACATGTAAAATCCTCCTAAAATCTGTCTTGGGAATCTCCCTAATTATAAATTTTTTTAAATCCATCCATATATATATAGGAATTATCTAATATAGGGAAGAAAAATTATCATTTGCAATTCTAGTGTTTTCTTCTAGTAAATCTTTTTACTTTCCTCTCATAATATTTAGAAATGAGAAATACCTGTAGTTGGTGATAGAGTACTGAAAAGAAACAGAACTAAAAAACACATCAACAAGTCAAGAAGCATATATTAATTTTATCTACCCATTAGTATTCAAAGATTACTTGGCAGAGAAAATGAGTTTACATCTAATTTGATTAAAGACTATGATGCTATAATAAAATCTGTAAACATTTGAGTTATTTAATTTGGCATTTTAAACAAATGAAAGGTGATGTTAATGGGCCAGTCAATACACTTTTATTAACTTGATGCTATGGAAATTATTGTACCAAATTTTGCAAATTTAGAATTATCACTGTTAACTGTAATAATAGGTACAAACAAGAAAAACACTAGAAGTGTTGCAGAATTAGGAAAGTTTAAATAAAAGGTATTTTTAGAATGCCACAATAAGTTTTTCTTATGTGAAAATCACTTTCAAAAGTGTAGCAGGGGTTGTTTGAAAGATTAAATGAATACAGGTAAAGCACATAGAACAGTGCCTGGCACATGGCAACTGCTTACCAGGCATTGGTTAGCATTAACTCTAAACTGAATCTAATCCTATCCCATGTAAAAGATCAGGACAAAGTATTTGTTGTCGGAAGATTCAGGACTATCTTTCCAAAAGAAGGTATGCTGTGTGACCAGGATTTAAAATACTGATGCACATGCTGAAACCTGGAGTAACACAAATCTTCTAACAAAAATTAATTGTATTATTAATGCATATTAACTTAAAAATAAAAATGCCAGTCAGATCACAAGACTGATTTGCTCAAAATGAAAATGGTTTTTCAGTTCTTGCATTTTGTTGCTCAAATCTAAGATAGTTTTAAATTTTTCTTTTTAACACTTCAAAACTTAATCACACTATAAAGACAAGCTCCTATCAAATCATGCTAAGCATCCAACTAACAAGTTGTTAACAGTGATTGCCTTACCTTCCCAAGGACAAATTCTTGAACTAAAAGATATAATAACAAAAGAAAACATAGCTATCTTTTCACGAAAATACACAAAGTTTAAGTAAAGGCTAAACTTCTACAAAATCAATTTGTAAAACAGGTTCCTCATTTTAAAGAAACCCAGATAGCTGGAAATTTCCACTGAATTTTTATGAGAAAATTTCTGATGTTTACATCAAAAGCTACAGCTTAAAAAATAAGTCCTTACTTTCCACAAGTCTCTATGCTAAGTCCATTTGTTCCCTAGTAAGTTTAATCAACACGTTTATTTAGATTTGCAGTGATTCTGAAAACAGATTCCTTCTGACAGTGATTTTCTGAATGAAATGTAAATATTAAAAGTTTTTAATTAAACCAGCACACAGTTCACACTCCAGTATTTGTTAAATATAATCTTATTTAAAATATTTTACAGCTATGAAATTAATTTTTAAAAAGTCCAAAGCAAAACCTTAAAGTACTCTGACATATACAATTTAGAGTCGATGTCAAGATTATTAAGCCAAAAATTAATTTTAAATTGGAAAACAATTCACTCCAGTAATAATTATGGAAAGAAAACCAAATGAATACAAATAATAATTTCACAATTTTTGCAGGATTACTTTGGACTATTTTTAAAACGCTGTAAGAAAACATGCTGCAAAACCACAATGCAAATACACAACTGAAAACTAAAACCCTACATTCATCTAAATTTCAACAGTCTCATTCATGTAATATTTGTCCTCCCTCACTTTAAAACTGGAACCTCAAGCCAATCAAAGATATTGGGGTCAACCCTAGTAAGGAAAACAAAAAGATCTTCAAGTACCATCTCCCTGTAAACTTTCAAGTACTATCTCCTTGGTAAACTTTCCAAGTCAAGATAATGTACTGGCAAAAGGAAAACAATTACAGTCCGGATATATATCTTGCATATAATTGTGCATTAAGTCATAAACCTTGGAAAACTAGTAACTTAGTAATAAGTTGCTATTTTAATTATAAAATATTTTCATGTTTTAGACAACCACCCCCGGAATGTTTGTATTCGTTTATACATATTTTGCAAGTGATACTCAAGTTCTGAAGACTAATCTTCATTTCCTACACCATCTTTATTAGACTCTTCCACCTTCGTTTTCCTAAGTAAATACATAACCTAAACCAATGAGTTTCACTCATTTGTCAGCTTCAACCACTGACAAAACCCAGTGGTTGCCTAGTGATGTATAGTTCTACTAAAAGACATATATGACCATGCTTTACCAAATACGGAACACATGTCTAAACTGTTGAGACAACTGCCAATGTATTAACTACAAAAAGCCATTATTTTTTACTTTAGCCTCAACTAAAATCAAAGTGTGAACACTTTATTATGGCTAGAAATTACCCAATATAGATGCATAGGTTTCACTGTTGACTTTCTATTTGGAAACTTCATCAATTGCAAACTACCAGGCTTTCAACCAAAATGCCACATTGGTGAAATGAGTTGGTTTTATTTTCATAACAACATTATTTTGATGGAAGAAATGTGAGCATCCCAGCTTTGACTTGTGGGTAAGCATTTCCTCTGCTTTCAGAACATAAACAGTAAATACCGGTATTGGAAAAACCTGGCCCCAACGAGATTCTTTATCTCTAGGCTAACTGTAGATTCCCGGGAAATCCCAAACAAGGGATGGTGACCCCGCCTCGGCGTCAGGGTCAACACAGCAACCAGCTAGGCTTCAACTTTGGGCTCTGAAGGGCCCCACCGGCATCATGGCTGATGCGGACCGATGCGCCGGAGGAGGTGGACAAGGAAGAGGCTGGTCTGTTTACTTGCAGCCAGAGCTGCCGCCGCCGCCAGCAGCGACAGCATCACTGGATCAGCCAAACCCAGCATCTTCCGCACATTTCTATTCTTAGCACACAACTCCCAAGCGGATCAAAACCCCACTACTATTAAAAACACAGACAAGCACGTTACCCACCTCCCACACACACACCCCCCCCCCCACCCCACCAGTGCCGTCTTTTCCTGCGCGCCAGTGGCGGGGAAGGGTGGGGGAAGGAAGGAGACCCCGGGGACGCCTGTGCATCCTCGCCTTCACCCCACCCCACGCGCAGACAGCCTCAGCGCCAGGGCGCGCGGCAGACGGCTCCCTCCCCCCAACCCAAACACACTGACACCGGCGCTCCACGCGTTATATAACCTCGCCGCCGCCCCCGGTCCAGGCGGGCGCCCCCTCCCCACGCCGCGCGGCCCGGGCGGGGAGGGGCGAGGGGAAGGAGCGAGAGTTGCGCAGACAGCAGGCGCCGGGCCGGGGCAGCCCAGACACAGACGGTACCGCTAGGCCGGGAACACCCCTCCCCCGGCCCGCTGCGCACCGCCGCCCCCCAGCTTTCCCCGGAAAGCGGGGGGTGTCGGTGTCAACCGCGCTGGGCATCCCCCGGCCTCCACACCCACACCCGAAGCCTCCGGTGACCCAGCCCCCGCCCACGCCCCCGGCGCGGTGACAACCCAGAAGCCCCCGCCTCACCCCACCCCGCCGCCATCCCCCGCCTGAGGGAGGCAGGGAGGGCGGACCGGGGCCCGGGGCCCGGAGGGAGTGGAGGCCAGGCGGGGAGGGGGCTAGAGTTGGGGGCGGTGGCTGTTACCTGCAACGGCGGCGGCGGCGGTGGCGGCCCCGCAGCTGCTCGGGCGGCGGCGGAGGATGGAGCCGGGGGGGGGCGGGGGGAGGAGAGGGGGCGACTCGGGGGTCCCCCCTCCCTCCTCCTCCCCTCCTGTCCTCCCCCCACCCCACAGAGCCTCTGGCCTCCTGGAGCCCGGTGCGGCCGGCGGGAGGGCAAGCGAAGGGCTGCAGGGGAGGGAGGGAGGGAGCCGGCCGGGCCGGGCCGCGGAGCTGGAGCGGGAGGCGGCGGCGGCGGCGGCGGCGGCGGGAGGGGGAGGGAGGAGAGAGGGCGGCGGCGGGGAGAGGAGGAGGCGGAGACTCTACATGGGAATCGGATATCGGCTACAAATTCATCACCAGAAAACACCGCTCGGGCGGGGGCCGGGTCACGCCGGCGGGGCGGCGGCTCTGGGCCCCGGGGCGCGCCCGGCGCGGGGAGGGGTTCTGCGGCCTCCTCCCGGGCTGCGCCTCGCTGAGGGGACCCCCCGCCGCCTCCCCGCCCCCTCCTTCCTCCCGCTCGGGGCCGCCGCCGATCGGTTCTCGCCGTCGCCGCGGGGCTTGTTGTTGACTTTGAGGAAAACTCCTGACGTCAGGGGCTGGCTCTCGGCGACTGGCGGGAGCGGCTTCCCCGCGTCCCCGGCCCTGCCCGCCGCCTCTGCTCCCCTCCCTGCCCGGCCCTCGTCCTCAGGCTTCCCCGCGCCCCCAAACCAGCGGTGCCCCGCGCCCCCTCTCCTCTCGCGAGAACATCCCCCTAGCCAGCCAGAGCCGGGAGCGGGGGCAGTCGCTCCCGGGCGGGAAGTTCTGGGTTTCCCCCTCGCCCGCGTGGCCCTTGGCGGGCACCCGAGGCCCGGGAGCGGAGGCTCCTCGCCCAGCCGCTTCCTCGGCGCATCCGCCCACCCGCCCTGGCCGCGGACGCGCGCGCCGCCAGGCCCCGGGCGTCTCCTCCAGTCCGCCGCGGCCCCTTGGGGAGATGGGCCCGGCGCGAGGGCTCGCACCTGGAAGCCCACGAAGTGGGCGGTGCCCAATGAGGTAGGGACCGGAGAGCGCGGAGCAGTCCAGAAGCCGACCCCACCCCCTGCACCTCGGGGAAGAGGGAACCCGGGTCAGCCCGTAGCAAGAATCATTCCTGACTATCCCAGGAGACCACGGCAGACCAAAAACACCTCTCTGAACAGCCTTCCGCACCGCTCGCTGCAAGCATTCGTCCACACACGGTACACAGATTGCGGGCGGATCGTAATTCACTCTTGAAATCACACCCTTTTTAGGGATATTCGTTTTCAATGACTTTGGGAAAGCCACGAGGTACTACATTTACTACGAAGAGACCGTTTCTTTATTTTGAAGTCAGTGACTCCTGAGACTGCATTGGGGACAACTTTTTTGCACAATGACCATATTTTACCATGCAGCGCACTTCAGAAAATTATAAAAGTTTACAAGTTTTATCGCTTCTGGAAACACCTGGGCAGCATCCCTATTATCCCGCCACGTGGCTCTAGCCTTGTTGATGTACCTGTTACTTTCTCCCACTGCAACATTTTTGTTAATGTCTGTGGCTTCTTTCTGCAGAAGAGTTCCTCCTCCTGACATGCACTTCATTCTCTGCTTTTCTATGTCTTGACAACTCTCTTATGGTAGTCATTTTCTTATACTGTAGCCCCCTGGTATTTATGTACTGTGTGGTATTAATATTTATACTTCCAGGTTCACATCTTTTATGAACTGTGCATCTGTTGGGATTGTGGACAGGAGTAGGAAACCAAATAAAAGGGTTTTTTAAAAAAGTCAGTTTTCTCCGTTTGTAAGGGAAACTTGTCTCCCTGACCACCCTGGAGCAAAATTTGCCATTTTAAGATAACACAGTCCGTCTGAGAGAAAGTCCTGCACCATGCCTTTCCCCTTTTCCCATATTTCCCAGCATGCTATGAGCTGATGAATAAACAGACTTTGTCCTATTTTCGTTGTATCTATAAAATATACATAATGTATTCCCATAATTATCAGACCTCTCACAGTCACTATTGGTAAAATTATTGGGTTACAGGTTTCTTGCTGTAAAACACAAAAATAGGTCATATTTTTATTCCATAGTACCCCAACTTGCTTTTTATTTTTAAGAAAATAGTCCCTTATGACACCAGCACTAAAAAGAGTGTCTGAAACTTTAAATACTTAACTTTTGAGAGTCAGAGTATCCGGAATTACTGAATTACTAGATATCTCTTATCAGTGAGATGTTCATTTGTTCCCAAATTTAACATCAATATATTTACAAGAACTGAATGTGTCTTATGAGCCATACTACCTCAAAATATTTCTCCCAGTCTGGTCAGATTGCATTAAATCTTAGGTGGATTAAACCCTAAAATTCAGTATGTGAGAATGGATTATATACTCTCGGCTTCATGTATTTGAAGAATTATAAGTTTTTATTTCTGTTCAATTTTTGCTTGTGGACTATAGTAGTTTCATAAGTTTCCATAATAAAAGCATGTTTGATTTTGTTATTGAATTACTATTGATTAGGGATATTATTTATTTAAATAACGTTGTTCTTTCTCTTAGACTATGCCGGTATGAATTTGGTAGAATCTGCCGATTGTGGTATGTCGGTACTCCATACAGAGTGTGTGGCAGATTTCTTCTCTATTTTGTTATCACATCCAGTAATATGGAGTGCAGCCAGCATGTTCATCCCTGGGAATGTCCCTCCTAAATTTTGCAAAGAAAGCCTTCATTCTTTATTACACCAAATATTCTTAAGATTAACATTTCTCAGTATTAGTTATTTATTCATTTTAAGAAAAATGTTCATTCTTCTTTACTACCAATGACTAAGTTTGATACTGAGCTATTTCTTGGTACTTCCCCCATTTCTTGGGAGTAACTAAAACTGGAAGGATATTTAGAATTTCAGAGCATCTAATGTCTTAGTCCATTCAGGCTGCTATAACAAAATACCATCAACTAGGTAGCTTATAAAGAACAGAAATTTATTTCTAACAGTTCTGGAGGCTGGGAAGTCCAAGATCATGGCACCAGCAGATTTGGTGTCTAAAGAGGGTTCCGTTTCCTGGTTTGTAGGTGGTGACTTCTTGCTGTGTCTTCACATTTTAGAAAGAGTGAGGGAACTCTCTTGGACCTCTTTTTCTTTTTCTTTGTTTTTTTTTTTTTTTTTTTTTTTTTTTTTTTTTTTTTTTTTAGAGACAGTGTCTCATTCTGTCACCCAGACTGGAGTGCAGTGGCATGATCATAGCTCACTGTAGCCTGGAACTCCTAGGCTCAGGCAACCCTCCTGCCTCAGCCTCCTGAGTAGCTGAGACTACCAGCATGAGTTAATGTTCCCAGCCATCTTGAGCCTCTTTTATAAGGGCACTAATCCCATTCTTGAGGGCTCAAACCCTCATGACTTAATCACCTCCCAAAGGCCCCATCTACTAACACACTTTGGAAGTTAGGATTTCAATCTATGAATTTGGGGAAACACAAAAATTCAGACCAGGGCATCACATAACAAAAATTAAGTTACTGCTCTTCTGTCTTAATAGAAAGGGTGTGTCATCCTAGGAGAGGGCATGGAACAAAGCAGACACAGAATACCTGTTTGTGGAAGAAATACATGTTCTAATGTTCTAATGACGGCTCTAATAAATCTGTGTACTATGTACAGTTTATATAGTATTTTCCTCTTGGGATGTAACGTGATTTATTGGAAAGAACATAAAAGTGCTTTGGAGACTTGCAGACCAGAGTTCAAATCCTCTCTCTGCAGAGTTTGTCTCATCTCAGGCAAGTTACTTAATTTTTCTAAGCCTTATATTTCCTTATTTGTGAAATGGCAGTTACAACTACTTCAACAACTTATGTGAATTAAATTTTATGAAATATTAGTATCTAAAACACAGTGAGTGGTCAGCAAGCTAAGATTCCTTTACCATAAATGTGAATATATTTATGTTAAACTAACAATAGCTGCTACAAACAAATACAAAAATCTATATTGGCACTCTCTGCCACAGTTGGTTCTGAAATAACCACGTTAAGTCTACAGCTGTAATTAGTGAATATATTCTAGATGATTAATAGAACAATTTCTAAAGGAGTATAGCTTAAATTTCTGTTGGTTAAGCCTCCCAATCTGTGATATTTTTCTTACAGCATCCCAAACTGACTAAGGCACACAGTTCATTACAATAGTTATCAGTACTAATTGTCTTTTTCTCCCTTTCCCTGATGTCTGTCTGTCTGTCTGTCTGTTTTTCTGTTTTTTTTTTTTTTTTTAGACAGAGTCTGGCTCTGTCACCAGGCTGGAGTGCAGTGGCATGATCTCGGCTCACTGCAACTCCACCTCTCGGGTTCAAGTGATTCTCCTGCTTCAGCCTCCCGAGTAGCTGGGATTACAGGCGCCTGCCACCACGCCCAGCTAATTTTTGTATTTTTAGTAGAGATGGGGTTTCCCCATGTTGGCCAGGATGGTCTCGATCTCCTGACCTCGTGATCCGCCCACCTCAGCCTCCCAAAGTCCTGATGTCTTTCTTAAGGCACAGGCCAGGTGCCTGTACAAGAACATATGAGCATAGCCAAGGGCCAGATATATCACTAATCTGGTGCTGTGTGAATCTGGGTTACTTAAAGCCCTGTGGAAACCTCCCTCTTATTTTGTTCTCAGGTTTTATTTTTTTGCTATGTTATTAGAGTATGAATGAATTTTTTTTGTTCATATTCTCATTGTCAGACGGCTAAATCTGTTAGCAACTTAAGCAATCTCTGGACATTACATTTAATATTTCAGGACACTTGGGTCACAAAAAGTTACTGACCACTAATAAATAACTGCTTGTGGAGCATCGAGCTAGAATTCATGTTCTAATTCCAAAGCAACAAGCATACACAATTATTATTCCTGGCTGTGCAGGAGAATCGTGGTATGTGATAAATTAATACATATTATAATCCTACAGCCTCATTTTAGTATGTAATGTTAACTTCCTGAGGTGGTGTGCATTTCTAGTTGTTTCTGAATCAGCTCTGTGGGGATTGGACTTTCCCATGCAACAGCTAGCAGTGAAATAACAACAGTAAATTTCCAACCTTCACCTGGATAATTACCTCAACTTCTTCCTCGGTTATCTCATGTAAATACTGTCCTGTTCCAGAAAGTTTCCCCATCCATTTTAAAACACAGTTTCTTCTGCCAATCAAAACACTTTCACAATTAACTGAAAAGTTTCAAATCTACATCTCACTATTTTAACCCTCTATGAAGTCCTTCAATTGTTGATTCTGTGCTATTTTGTTAAATAATACTGGCTTTTTATAGTAGGAGAAAATCAGTCTCAGAATTTTTCTGTTGACTAGACAGAACTATGACCATTTTAAATTGCAAACACTATCTCGATTCAGTAATTGGATTTGAATCAAAGCTCTGAATTTGATTTAGAATTCAAACTTTGTAGTGGGGAAAGCAGGCAGGCTCAGCTTCTCTATTTCTCTATCTTATTTTCCTCTTCCACTCCACAAGTCAGTCTCTGGGTGAAGGACAAAACAGTTCTTACCCAGCTGGTACCGCTGTCAGCCAGCTTTGCACTCTCTCAGCCTAGCACACAGAACCAGCTACATGATTTGCAAGGCCCAGTGCATAATGAAAATGCTGGGCCCCTTGCTGGAGAAGAGTTAAGAATTTAAAACTTTTTGAGAGCAGAGCGTTAAGCCAAGTACACAAGCCTGTATTCCGTACAGGTAGCATGCCCATGAGGCTGCCGGCATGTGCTTCATGCTAGCTGTCCAGGGGCTTTTCGGAGAGTTGCTTCTGGGCTACCCTAACTGCAATCTCTGCGATGTGGGTAATGCACCCTTACCTTCAGCTGGCGCTCCTGATGGCCCCTCAGCTTTAGTTTCTTCAGTCCTATTGGAGTCTTCTCACCCCTCTGGGAGAAAGTCTCATAGGCGCAACTCCAGATGGCTCCAGGCAAGTTCTCTCCCTCCCATAGGACTCTGGGCTACAGAAAACATTGAAACATTCTTTGCCCAGCAGGCCATTCTCTTCCAAGCAGTTGGGCAGCCTGTTTCCCAGTTTTCTGAATGGGAGTCAGATCCCAGTCCACAAAATGCCCCTGCCCTGCATCCAACCCCCATTGCAGGAAACACATTCCAAGCTCTCCACACAATCAATGGAAACCCGTGGAAGTCCCCGGCATGAGCCGAAGAAACATCCTCCATTTTCTCTGCACAGGAGGTGATGAGTGCAAGTCTCCCTTCCACAAACCTATCTTGAATTTTCTCCACTATTGTATATGTTTTAAGTGGATGAGAGTATTTGAGTCATAGATTTGGTTTTGAATTCTTTCCTTCATAATAGTGACCAAGCTTGAAATTTCATACTTTTGTATCTTGAGATCTCAGTTGAAACTTCAATTTAAAATTCCTATTAAAAAGCATATTCTCTTGCCTCATTCAAAATGCAGTGGCTCATGCCTGTAATCCCAGCATTTTGGGAGGCCAAGGCAGGAGAATCACTTGAGCTCAGGAGTTCAAGACTAGCCTGGGCAACATAGCAAAACCTTATCTCTACTAAAGTTATTTTTTTTAATTATCCAGGCATGGTGGTTCACGCCTGTAGTCCCAGCTATTGGTGGTTGAAGGGGTTAAGGTGAGAGGATAACTTGAGCCCGGGTGGTTGAGGCTGCAGTGAGCTATGATTGCACCACTGCACTGCAGCCTGGGTGACAGAGCACGTCTCTATCTCAAAAAAAGACAAAAAAATCTTCTCTATGCTGTAACTATTTTCTCTGTTGCTTATTTAGATGTGTGCTCACATGTATTAAAAAATTATCAGCTATTACTGAATAAGATATTTAACAGGTGTTCAAGGCACAAAATTAATTAAAATAGTGTCTTCTCTACATATTTGTATTTCTGTTTGATAAATATGTTCCAACAAATTGCCTTTTTCATACATTATTACCTACGTTACTATTAAATATTTTTAGAGACTCTTGCCCTTAGCTAATTTCTCAAATTTTTTATTAAGCAATTTAAAGTTGAACCCTTTGAAATTTTATCTCAGAAGATGCTATGATATAGATGCCACAAAATCAAGTATAAAAAAGGATAAATGTACAATTTGTATGAGAGTCGGTCACTTGCACAAAGGTCATGCTGAGCTATGAAAACCTCTAGATGCAGGCATGAATCATAAATGATGGATTTTTGCATACTTTTTTTTTGAGATGGAGTCTTGCTCTGTTGCCTAGGCTGGAGTGGAGTGGCACATTCTTGGCTCACTGCACCCTCCGCCTCCCAGGTTCAAGTGATTCTCCTGCCTCAGCCTCCCGAGTAGCTGGGACTACAGGTGTGTGCCACCATGCCTGGCTAATTTTTTTTGTACTTTTAGTAGAGGGAGGTTTTGCCATGTTGGCCAGGCTGGTCTCGAACTCCTGACCTCAGGTGATCCGCCCGCCTTGGCCTCCCAAAGTGCTGGGATTACAGGCATGAGCCATCACACCTGGCCAGATTTTTAAAAATAATGTAAGACTGCCTTGATTTCCCTTTAATGTCTATGATTACCAAAGAGAGGGTTTGCCTTCCTTTGTTCTTTATCAAGGTATTAAAAATTGAGAAAATATTGGACTTTGGGGCGTAGTTTAAACTCCTTAACTTTTTCTTGCTTCATTCAAAGTGCTATTGGGATCTTTGAGTATACAATGTTCAGAGAATAACAATTTGATAAATACGCATGTCATGTTTGCCTACCTTGTCTCTTTCTACCCCTCATCTTCTGAAAAGTTACTTCCTTATAGCTGTCTTCTTCTTCCAAATATCTGAGAAAGTCTTTGAGTTATGTGACATCTAGAAATCGTATTTATGAGCAGAAGCTTCTTCAAATAATCCATAAGGGAAAACTTATGAAGAGTGAGGAAAAAGACTCCAATTTTCATTACTCTTCATGCACTCTCTCCTTAATGGTGGTTATGATAACCCTGTTTTTCTTAAATCTCCACTCAGGGTATCATAAAACTTATTTGCATATTTACCTAGTCCCATTGTCTTCCCTGATAAAATGCTTTAAGCCTTAGATCATACAGTTTGTATTTTGGCATTCACTTCAACTTAATTCCATAAACATTTCTTGACTCTCTCTATAGATAAAGGTCTAGAGATCGATTTAAGTTCAACACAGAGTCTCCTTCCAAGAAGCTCCAGCTACCAGGGAGACCAACATGAATAAGTGACTATAAAACAAATAAGTGCTATGAGAGAAATATGTATAAAAGGGTATGAGAACACACCATTGGGAGCAATTAATAGTGAAATGAGAGGGAGTAAGTCAGGTCAACCTAAAGACAGGTTATTGATATTTTAGCTGAGCATTAAAATGAGGTCCAAAGTTGATCAGGCAGAGGGAGGAGGACATTCCTGCAGTGAAAAGAGCACCCCAAAAAACACAAGAGAATAACACTGGGGACTCCAAGAAAATAAAATAGGTGGGGGAAGGTCTCAGTGACATAAGTGATACGATAATTCAAGTCCAGTTTGAGCTGTCTATATGAATGCAGGAGCAGTGGAGAGGGAGAAGGAAGACTCTTAAATAACTTATGATATAGAATCAACAGGAATGAGTGATCAGTTGGCGGGCAGAGGGGTAGTAAATAGAAGAAGGAGTGAAGGATGATGCCCAGAATTCTCCCCTCCCTGGCACTGGGAGGAGGAATGGACTGTGTGTGTATGGACAAACATGCACACACTATGGTTATTGTTGCTAATTTTGGAGAATAAGGTTGGCAAGAGGCCGGGTTATGAAGAGAAAAGAAGATGAGTCGTTTTGGACATGTTAAAATGCAAATGCACCTGTGAGACTTCCAGGTAGATAGAGCAATCCACACTATAGCTAACACGGTTGAGTTCTTACTTTGTGCAAAGTGCTCCACTGAGCGCTCTACTGATTTAATATCAGAAGCACTTTTGAATATGGAAATGGAGGGATCTGACTAAAAGACTTGGTCTGGATGTAGGCTTGCATCAGAGCGTGGGGTAAGTGGCTCCGAATAGCAATGTGATATAAGAACCAAACCTTAGGAAGCACTAACACTGGAGGGCAAAAGGAGATGGAGGAAAAAAAGTCAAATAGGTGGGAAGAGAAAACGAGTTATGAAAGCCAAGGTGGGACAGAATGTCAAGAAAAGGCAGCGTTTGGCAGTGGGAATGTTGCACAGAGGTGAAATAAAAGATCAAGTCTGATAATTGCCTACAGAATTTTACAATTGGGAAGTCATTGCTTACCTTGGTTGAAGTAATTTCATGGTGTAATGGGATTGAAAGCTTCGTTGAACTGCCTTTAAATTGAGGAAGAGGGAAACAAGGAGAGATGAGGGGAGAAACTGATATTTATTGAAACCTGCTGGGAGCCAAGTTCTGTGCCGGCACTTTGCTTACATCTAGCTGCACGTTACAGTAGTCCGGGATATTAACTGTTGTTCCCTAGTTTCTGACTCCCCATGGTCCTTACTGGCTGTCGAGTGAACTAGAAGATCCTTGCCTCAGGAAGCAGATGACAGAGCAGAGAAATGACGAAAGGACCTTTCCTGGCTTTGTAGTTTCAGAAGCCTAGCCCTCAGTGGGAAATAGAAATGACTCTGGGGCTTAAAACAGTAGATGAGGGAGAAGATGTGATGCTGTAAGAACAAGGTTTCATGCACATCACCACCACCACCACCACTAGAAAGAATGTCAGTCTAGCAGGAGGAAGAGAGGTTGGTTCTATTACCTGCCCCATGGGGACAGCACAAGAAAGAGGATGAGTGAACAACCTGACAGGCTTCAGGATTCCCAAAGAAGAGGGAAGTTGTGCTTCCTTTCCTTAAGGGAGCCTAGATGGAAGGAAGGACCAGATGTAGATATGTCCTGATGGTGAATGAAGGCAGGCCCCTCGGGGCATCCTGGGGCCCAGTGTAACCTGGGCAGCAACACAGTAATCCCAGTGTGATCAGGATTTCTGAGTTTGCACAGGATTTAGGACGATTTCTGCGATTCCATGCCCTACAATGGTGCAGGATCAGCATCATGGTTCCAGCACACCAGCAAATGGAAATGAGGGGAGAGAGGAACAGATCAGAAGTAACTTTGAGGACAAACAATCAAGGGGCAATCAAGATGACCAATATCTCAGAGGACAACAGTATGAACAGACAACCAAGACAAGTAGCCCTTCTCTGTCCAGACAAATTGCTCCCATGCAAGTCACTCTCCCCACTGCCTTCCCTCCAGAGCATCATCACAATCCCAGGCAGATAGGAACTTTCCAACCACGCAGCAAAATGGAGGCCCAAAATAGAAATGGAGTTGAGTTCTAGAAATAATGTTACATTTCCTACACACCTGAATTTGGGAAATGAATGATAGCCAGAAAGGGATCCAAGGTGATGAAACTTCTTTTTTTAAAAAAAATTAAGAATGAAGAGCCGGGCATGGTGTTGCAGCTACTCGGGAGGCTGAGGTGAGAGGATCCTTTGAGACCATAAGTTTGAGGCCAGCCTGGGCAATACAGTGAGACCCCATCTCTTTAAAAATTTTTTAAACAATTTTTAAAAAAGAATGAGAGAAACTAGATAATATAAATGGGGGAAAAGAAAGAACTAGTT
This sequence comes from Homo sapiens, assembly GCF_000001405.40. NCBI lineage: Eukaryota > Metazoa > Chordata > Mammalia > Primates > Hominidae > Homo > Homo sapiens. The sequence goes on from NC_000001.11 coordinate 243,860,694, forward strand.
GAGAGGGAGAGCTTGAAAATGAAGGAAAAATAGGTCACATACTAAGGAATGATTCTGAAGGATATGGGAGGAAAATCAACAGAAAGGGATACACCTTGAAGGGAGGGTGTACACCTCTGGAACACGAGTGAATGTGAAAAGGATGTGCGTAGATAGAGTTCTGTAGAGGGCTGGGAGAAATGTGACAGGTTTCATGCTTCATGGCATGGAGGAGGAAGGGCCACGTGGTAATGCTTGTTGGATGCCTGTTGGAAATAATGTAGGATGAAGACAGAACCATAACACAGTTTACTTCCTTGAGCGTTAGGTGGTATATGTATTGCATTCGACTTCCTTCATTGAAGTTGTGGATGCTGCAGTCACTGCCGGGATCCGCAGCCCCCTCCTTTCAGGATGGAAGCAGCCACTTCACCAGCTGCTGGAACTGTTGGCCACTGACACTTAAGCCCCTTTTCTAGGAATTGCCATCTACTGAGAGAGCCACTCTACCGCAAATTACACCCCCTTCTCAGTGACCATACGGTCTGAAGGTGGAAAGTCCAGCCCCCTTGCCTCAGTTCAGGAGGAGTCCGCTGGCCTATAAAGATGGGCACACTGGGCGTGTCTCTCCCATCCCCACAGCCCCTACCAGGAGATCAGCTGGGGTCTTTGTTGTGACTGCACAGCACTTTCCCCCTGCCCAATCCTGCCTCCTTCACCCCGGACAGTCATTGATTGTGAGAGCACACCCCACAAACTTCCTGCAGTGCTGTCTCCATCCCAGAGTCTGTCTCACTGGGAATCCAACTTGAGAAAACACATCAACCTTATGACAGCACAGGTCCCTCGGAATCACCGTCAGTACTGTAGGAAGGAACTCCAGCATGCCTTGGGAAAATCCAAGTTTAAAGAACGAATAGCTGTGTGGTGGGACAACCTCCTTTCTTTCTGCCCTCTTGTTTCCATGTGGATGAAAGTTACATTCCTAGCCTGTGTCATCCCTGACTCCCGCCTCACCAGAGACTTATCTGATGGAGGAGTCCGGGGGAAAGTACTGGGCACTTAGCCCATTCTGGGGTCCCCTGTTTGGAAGACGGGTTGGCCCAAATGCTCCCTCATACCAAAAGAGGCCTGTCCTGTGGGTGTGGCATGTACTGTTCTGGTTCTAGGGGAAAGTGTTTGCAAGCCCATTTGTCTGTGGGCCTAATACACATCCTCCAATCCAGCTTTTACTAATGTCAAGCTGCTATTTTCTTTGCCAGTGTCCATTCTTTTTTGTATTGTATTTCTCAATTGGGATCCAGATTTACAAGGGGGAGAAAGGGTTAGCTATTTAATTCTCCGAAACCTTTACTATATAGTACTTTTGGAAGGGAGGGAAAACTGTTTAGTGTTTGGGTGTCTCTTTAGGATAAGAAATAGCAAGTCAAGAGTGACAAGGAATGCAAAAAGAAACATCACACGGACAGAAGATAAAGAAAAATACAGTCGTTCCAACATTTAGAAAATATCTCTGAACTCTAGTCCTGTATGCAGGTAATTCCTGCCTGAGAAGGAGTGGATCACAAATCTACCCAGACCCCCAGCCATTGGATTTAAATCATTGTTCCTTTATTCTCCAAATGTTTGGCTTTGTTCGAAAGATTCATAAAAAAAACCAAGCGTATTGGCTCTGTTACACAGAAAAACTGCATCAGCTTTTTGCTAAAATCAGTTTTATCATGAAGTTAATTACATTTTATTACCAAAAGATAAGTATGCTAAATGAATCCATATATCACAACATCTCTTATAGGTTTGTAGAAGTGATGGTAGGGATGGCACTATTTTTATTATGTCTATTTTTAAATTACCTTAATTTGACCTCATTTTACCCCAAATTACTCCTTGAGATGATTTTGCAGGCTGAGCTGAGTCCCAAGTTAAGGATGGCACTGAAATTTTTCTGTAGCAAGAAGTTAGGTATGATTTGGTTTGTTTTGAGAATAAACAAGATTAAGAAAAATTTACATTTTAGACCAGTCGAGTACTTTAGGTGTCATCTTTTACAGATTTCACATTTAATATAATTCTACTCCTGACATTAAATTTTATTACTCTACAAACTAGCCAGAAGTAATAAGGTTCTAAGAGCTATAAAACACGTATTTGGCTTTTCTCAGCTGTTTGAGGCAATGGTAGAATTTCTGAGGTACCCTTAAGTGTTAATGAAATGAATTCGTAAATCATTTGTTGCTTGTCAGTCATATTGCTTATCAATAATGCTATTATCAATTTCCTCTAAAGCATGTAGATTTCATACAAAAATGGAAGCTACGTAACTACAATTTTTCACCTTTTATAATAACATTGTGGGGTGCAGGAAGTGGAGGCACAGAGGGGCCTTCAACTTCTCCAACCTACTGTAACATTCTCTGGCATGTCTGGGATGAGGGATGTATGAGATAACAGGAGGGCTCTGCTCTCAGAGGTGATGATGGGTTTGTGCTGAGCTATCGACACTCATACCTGGGCCTCTTGTGATCAATGACACTCAATTTGGAGACGGCTGACTGGGGTTAATGGTGCAATCTGTGGCTTTGGAACAGAGTTCTTCTCTATGTGAAACTAATTGGCCCATATGGGGATTAAACTGGTAACAGTGTCCTCATTTGTCAACCCATCTATTCAGCTTTTGAATCTAGTCGTGTTTGAGGACCGCCCCAAATTCAATCAATGTGTTTTCAAATTGTAACATCATGACTTTAGAAAGAGGAAGAGGTAAATTTTTAAATATATCAACCCAAATCACTGTAAGAAAAACTTACAATGGTCTCCATTGTAAGTTAAATAACAATTATTCGATTGCCAATTATTCTTAAATGATTATCCCTGTGCCATGGGAAACAACAGGAAGCAAGTCTGTTTCCCATTAGATACCTTATTCCAGAATTACTTTTAAAATTTTCAAAACATGCCTTCAGACTCCCACCCCTGACTGCCCAATGACTGTTTCAAGGGTTGCCACCTGCAGCTACCCCCAACTCTTTTCCAAAACATCAGATTTTAAGATGGAACTCGGTTTTCCCTCACTTGATCTTCCTTTGTTTCTACATTCACCAGAAGCCTTTCTTAAATCCTGATGCCGGAGCGCTTTTTAAATCCATTTACCAATTACATGATTCATGTCCTGACTTTGAAATAAAAAAAACACACCACTATTTGCCACATCCTTCAATTCAGACTTAAAGGACATATCTCGACAATACAACATACTCAAATTCAAAAATTCTTTTTAGATCCATTTACATTTTCTCCCCATTTATTTCATAATTAACCTGATGCTTTTCTCCAATTCACCCGATACTTAATATCTAACTAATGCATGTAAAAACAAGCCCCAAATTGTGAGTTAAGTGTGCTGTGGTAGAGACTACAACATGGTGGAAATGAAATAGGAACCCTAGAAAGGCTGGATAATGATGCACCAGGTGACAACATTTATATCCAATAGAAAAGCATCTTCATTACCTAACTCTCCAGTTAGAAGCTATTTTTCCTTCCAAAAAGACTTTCAAAAGAAGTAATCTTTGAGCAGTCACAGAAACACGGAGCATTTCTCACAAATAATAATAAAGAACCAAACATGAGGAAGTGGCAGAGAAGCATAGACCAATAAAAAAGTGTGAGATACTAGAAGAGCATCAGCAGAACTTTGACAAAAAGAGAAGAGTTACACAGACTGGACTCCAAACAGAGATTATATTTCAGCCCTATTGGCTAAGAGTTTTCTTTTTTTTTAATTTTCAATTTTTTTTAGAGACAGCGTCTGGCTCTGTTGCCCAGGCTGGAGTGCCGTGGCATGATCATAGTTCACTGCAGCCTCAAACTCCTGAGCTCAGGTGATCCTCCCACCTCAGCCTCCTGAGTAGCTTGGACTACAGGTGTGCACCACCACCCTCAGCTAATTATGTTTAAGAGGACGCCCAGACATCTAGTGAGCATTCTTTCTGGATGTGTCTGTAAAGGGGTTTCTGGAAGAGATTAGCATGTCAATCAGTAGACTGAGTAAAGCACATACCCTCCCCGGGTGTGGCTGATCATAGTCCCTACCATAGAGGGCCTGAATAAAACAAGAAGTGGAGGAAGGGAGGAATCTCTCACTCTGCCTGATGAGCTGGAACTGCCCTTGGTGCTCCAGGTTCCCAGGCCTTCAGACTAGGACTAGAATCTACAGGGGTGTCCAATCTTCTGACTTCCCTGGGCCACACTGGAAGAAGAATTGTCTTGGGTCACACAGACATAAAATACGCTAACACTAATCATAGCTGATGAGCTAGAAAAAAAAAAGAAAAGAAAAAAATCTCATAATGCTTTAAGAAAGTTTACGAATTTGTGTTCAGATGCCTTCAAAGCCATCCTGGGCCGCATTCCACCCTCAGGCCGCGGGTTGGACAAGGTTGATCTACACCATTGGCTCTCTGTTCTCAGGTCTTCAAACTGTACCGCTGGCATTCCTCCGTCTTCAGCTTGCAGAAGGCAAATCATGGGGTATCTCAGCCTCCATAATCATGTGTTAGTAACTTAGAAAAGAATGCTTTTGTTAGAGTGTGCAACATATTGTGTTTGAATGAGAGAGAACTAATGAGTGAAATAATGTACCCACATGACTTTCTTTTTAGTTCTGTATTATTTTTTAAAAATTATGGGATGTAATATTTATGTAGAAAGTATATAAAATGTGTATGTAGATTGGCAATCATCTTTTTGTTGTTGTTGTTTTTTGTTTGTTTTTGTTTTTGAGATGGAGTCTCGCTCTTTCGCCAGGCTGGAGTGCAGTGGCGCGATCTCGGCTCACTGCAAGCTCCGCCCCCCCAGGTTCAAGTGATTCCCCTGGATTCCCCTGCCTCGGCCTCCCAAGTAACTGGGACTACAAGTGCGCACCAGCAAGCCCGGCTAGTTTTTTTGTTTTGTTTTGTTTTGTTTTTTCTGAGACAGAGTCTTGCTCTGTCTCCCAGGCTGGAGTGCAGTGGTGTGATCTCAGCTCACTGCAAGCTCCGCCTCCCGGGTTCACGCCATTCTCCTGCCTCAGCCTCCCGAGTAGCTGGAACTACAGGCGCCCGCCACCATGCCCGGCTAATTTTTTGTATTTTGGTAGAGACGGGGTTTCACCGTGTTAGCCTTGATGGTCTCGATTTCCTGACCGCTTGATCTGCCCGCCTGGGCCTCCCAACGTGCTGGGATTACAGGCATGAACCACCGCGCCCGGCCAGTTTTTTTTTTTTTTTTTTTTTTTTTTTTTTTTTTTTAGTAGAGACAGGGTTTCACCATGTTGGCCAGGATGGTCTCGATCTCCTGACCTCGTGATCTGCCCAATCCAATCATTTTAAAGCAAACGCCTATGTAACTATTAATACCACCCAGGTCCAGAAAGCAGCGTAAGCAGAACTCCAGGATGCACTGTGCTCTTCCCCAATCATAGCCCCTCTCCCCTCAAGAGTAACCACTACCCACTCCCCCATCTTTGGGATAATCATTTCTTTGGTTCTCATCATGGTGTTTCCTCTGATGTATCAGTTAATATGTAAGTTTATTTTTTATTTCCTCCTTGTTCTCAATAATATGTATTTAAGTTTCATCTATGTTGTGAGTGGCTGTATTTTTTCATTTTACTGCTATGTGATATTTTGTTGAATGAATATATCGTGATTATTTTAGGAATTTATTTCATTTAAACTCAAATTTATTGACAAAGATTTTATAATACTTCCTTATTTTCTTTTTAATGTCTAAGAATCTGTAATATCCTCTTTTTCATTCCTGATATTGGTTATTAATGCACTCTCTTTCTCCTTCTCTTTCTCCTGGTTGATTCTCACCAGAGGTTTGTCAATTTTACCAGTGTTTTAAAAAATGCAAATGTGGGGTTAGTTGACTATCTTTATTTTATACTTGTTTTGTAATTCATTAATTGCTGCTGTCTTTATTATTGTCTTCTACTTTCTTTTATTTTGCTGTTCTTTTTCTAACTTCTTGAGATAGATGAATAGCTTATTCACTTTCAGCCTTTCTTCTCAAACAATCCTCCAGCCTTGGCCTCCCAAAGTGCTGGGATTACAAGTGTAAGCTACCGTGCCTGCCTTCTTTTTCAATATATGGATGTACATCTATACATTTTTCTCTAATAACGTATTTAGTGATGTCTTATATGTTTGAGATGTCATATTTTAATTACCTTTTAGTTCAAAAAAATTTTTGTGTTATGATTTCTCCTTAGAATTTTATTTCTCAATTCTCCAAAATATGAGAATATACTTTGCACAATTTCAATCCTAAAATTTATTGAGGCTTGCTTTGTGTCCCAGTCCCAGCTTTTTGTAAATTTTTGTAAATATTCTACGTGTGTGCTTGAAAAGAATATGTATTCTGCAGCTGTTGGGTGTTGTGTTCTATATATGTTCATTATAAAATTTTTAAAAAATTATAAGCATATTGTTAAAATTTTTTATATCTTTACTGATCTTTTTTGGTCTCCATAATCTATCAATTACTGAGAGAGGAATGTTAAAATCTCTCTACTCTGATGTGAATTTGTCTATTTTTCTTGACATTTTGTCAGTTTTTTATTTATGTATTTTAAGGCAATGTTATTAGAAACATACAAATTTAGAATTCTTATGGCTTCCTGATGAATTGAACCTTTTATTATTATGAAGCGACCCTCTTTAATAATGCTTTTGACCATAGTATCTATTTCATCTCATGTTGAAAACTATACACACACATATACACACACGCGCACACACACACACACACAGTCATGTGCCACATAATAACATTTTGGTCAATAATGGACCACAGATATGACAGTCATCCCATAAGAGTATAATACTGTATTTTTACTATACCTTTTCTATGTTTAGATACACAAACACTTACCATTATGTTATACCTACCAGTAAGCCTATGGTATTCAGCACAGTAACATGCTGTACAGGTTTGCAGCATAGCAGCAATAGGTGTGTAGTAGGCCTAGGTATATAGTAGGCCATACCATCTAGGTTTGTGTAAGTACATTCTGTGATGTTTGCACAATGACAAAATTGCCTAATGAAAGATTTCTCAAAATACATCCCTGTCATTAAACAATGCATGAGTGTATGTGTTCCTGTGTGTTTGTGTGTGCACACGTGTGTGTGTGTGCATAAAAAGAGACAACAGACAGAGCACAACAGAGCTATACACACATATGGTTATAAGTATATATATATATACACACATATATACATATATGTATATACATGTAATACACATATATACATATAGGTATATACATGTAATACACATATATACATATAGGTATATACATGTAATACACATATATACATATAGGTATATACATGTAATATACATATATATCTGAGTGTGTGTGTATGTATGTGTGACTATGTCAGCTTTTATTTGGTTAGTATTTACATAGAGCACCCTTTTTTGTCCTTTTATTTTAAACCTTTTTATATACTTATGCTTTGTATGGATTTTTAAAGTGAAGTCTGAAATTTTTGTCTTTTAACCAGAGGATTTAGTTCATTTACATTTAATATAACAATTGACAAAACTGTGTTTTTAAAAAATCACTATCCTATTTGAGATTTTCTGTTAATTCTGCCTCCTTTTCCTCTCCTTTTAAAAGAGTTGGTCCTAATTTTCACCTTCACTTTCTGTAGCTTAACAAGCAGCTCATTTGGAAGAAACTAGCTCAATAAAAGCACATAAAGTTTCTGGAAAATACTATTAGCTGAGTTCCAGAACCCCCTAACCTAAGATCATTTTCTTGACCAGGAAATCTTGACTGTTAGAGGGCCTCATTGGTGACCCCTGCCTCCTTCCATGTCCCTTATGAATACATAGAATCGCAGAGGACAGGATCCTTCCGCTGGAGCTCTGCTCCTCAGGCGTGCCTCCCTGTGTGATACTGACAAGTGAGAGCCTGGGTGGTATTTGCAGCTGCTCTCTGCCTTCAAGTTTCCCTAATACACCTGACTTCGCATTTGTGTCCTGGCCTGTTAGTGGTACATGTGTATGACCCTTAGCCTGACACTGTTCTTACCTTTCTTTTGACTGATTTCTTCTTGTCATTTTCTTTCCTCTATGAATTTGGCAACTAATCTCATTGTCTATTATTTTAGTAATGACTTTAGAAATCACAACACACACAATTACACTTTTGAAGCCTAAAGGTAATCAGTACCTTTACCCTCTTCCTAGAGTGATGGAAGGGATAAAAACCAACAACAAAAAAATTCTTTTTTGGTCTCCATAATTGTAATGCTTGAACCCTATTATCTCCACACCTACCAATTGAATATATTTTTGCAATAGTGTATCTTTAAATATCATTTTTTAAAATCCCCACAAGATATTATTATTAATGTTGATACAGTGACTAATTGTTTTGTTTATACAAATAGTTACCATTTTCTTTCCTCTCCATTATTTCATGCATCTTGGATCATCCTTCCAGAAGTACCTCCTTTAATAGAGTGCTTCTTAAACTATCTGTGGTGAAAGACTTGTCTTTTTTTTCTTTTAATCATCACAGCCTAGTATTTTTTAAAAGTACAATAACATGAATTACTAGAGGAAAAAATTAAATGAAAAAAACAAAGACATGCAAAATACAAACCCCACATGTTTATTTTTGGATTCGACAGACATAAAAGTACTCTGTCAAATTGTTGTAAAGTTTTCAGAATGCTTCCTTTCAGTTCCTGGACTTCTGTCTTCTGGACTGGGAGCGAACACTCACAGGCTGACATTAATCCATGGACCTGACTTTGAGGAGCACTGCTTAATATTTTTCCTTAGTGAAAAGTTTCCCTGAGTTCTGTGAACTGCTCCAGCAAATTAAGAATGCAAGGAGGGGGCTGTGAGAATCCCAATTTATAGCCAGTCAGAAGAGTAAGTGACAACCTACTACTTATGATTAGCATCTGAATTTGGGGGAAGTCTTGTAGGACTGAGCCCTCAACCTATAGGATGTAATGCTATCTCCAGGTAGATAGAGTCAGAATTGAATTGAATTAGAGGACACCCAGCTGGTATCCACAGGAGAAGCTATGAAGATTGCTTGGTAGGGAGAAATCTCCGCAGATTTCGGTGACCGAGGTCACAGAAATATTCCATGTTGATTGTTGAGTGAAAGACTAGGAAAAACACTTTGTGTTTTTTTGTATCACAACAACTGGAAACAGGAATTCCTGTTACTACTTTGTATTTCGTAGGAGGGTCTCTTGTTCCAGGTTGATTAAGAATTCCTACTTAGAAATACATTCAGAATGTTAATATACATTTTATTAAGTTCCAAATTTGTTTTGAGTACAGGAACTCTGAGGCACATGTGTGTATACGTATTTATAAGCATAACAATTTATAGATACATTGTTATATTTGTCTTATTATTAAATATTATTTTGCCATTTGATAACCCCTTTTCCAGTAGCCCACCTTACATTGGTATAATGTGGAAGAACAGTGTTTTTTACTAAAGATGTTAATTACATAATATTTTATGTTTCTCTATTCTTTAGTTAGATCATGGAGTTTAGGACTTGGGCTGCCATGTTACCCTTGTTAACAGTATGCGATATAAAAGAGATCTAATCCTGTGAGTACAAAATGAGGGAAGTCATAAGAGATTCCTAAGAAGAGAAACTTGAACTGGGGAGAGACTTACTGCATTAAAAATGTATTAAATAAGTTAAGGACTCAAGGGATCTATGCTGATGCTAAGTACAAGACTATTCCTGTTGAACAATAGGAAAAAAGGAAATTAGATGTAGCTTGAGATCACTTGCTCATTAATTTCATCATTGTGTTAAGGAAGAAGAGACTTAGGATTCTTAATTTTTTTTTTTAGAAAAACCTGTTAATAACTGTAAAATGGAATGGATCAGACAAAGGATTTGAAAAGTTGAGATTCTGGTTTGTGTCCCAGCTTTGCTATATAAGAGTTATGTGTGAAATTGGGAAAAATATGTAATGAGACTTCGTTGTAAAATTGAGATAATAATAGTATTTAAATCAATAGTTGTTGTAAAGTTAACATAAGAGACTTGTCAGAAAACTTGGTGTGATTGTTAATTTTCTGGGTCACAACTGGGCTGAGGAAGGCCCAGAGAGCTGGTAACACATTGTTTCTGGGTGTGTCTGTGAGGATGTTTCTGGAAGACTGAGTAAAGAAAATTGCCCTCACCAATGTGGGAGAGCATCATTTAATCTGTTGAAAACCCGATAGAACAAAAAGCTGGAGGAAGGACAGATTCACTCTTCTTGAGCTGGGTCATCCATCATCTCTCGCCCTGGGACATCAGAGTGCTTGGTTCTCAGGCCTTCGGACTCCAGAACTTACACCAGTGCTCCTCTCCTCCACACTCCGCTTCCCCAGCCCTGAAACCCCCTTCTCACGCCTTCAGACTTGATTGGGAGGTACACCACCCACTTCCCTGGTTCTCAGGGTCATGGATTTGGACTAAATTACATGACTGGCTTCCCTGGGTCTCTGGCTTGCAGACAGCAGATTGTGGGACTTCTTGGCCTCCATAATCATGTGGACCAATTCCTCATAATAAATCTCTCTCTGTCTCTCTCTCTCTCTCTCTCTCTATATATATATGTATACACACACACACACACACAAACACATACATTATACATCTTACATATATATGTATATATTATACATTATATATATATATATTTTATATCTCCTATTGGTTCTATTTCTCTGGAAAACCTTGGCTACTACACTTGGTAAACTGTAGAGCAGAATTCTGGGTCACAGTTCCATGACCTTAGTCTAAAAGGTTTTTTTTTAAGTTTGAATTAGGTGTCGTTTTTTTTAACTTTTAATTTTATTTTTAATTTTTTTTCTGTAGAGATGACATCTTGTTATGTTGCCCAAGCTGGTCTCAAACTCCTGGCCACAAGCAATCCTCCTGCCTCAGCCCCCCAAAGTGCTGGGATGACAGGTGTGAGCTACCACACCCAGCAAATGTCATAGTTTAAAAATTTGAATTTCTAGCTTCTTTATAAAAAATCAACTTTATTCAAGGATTATTTATATAAGATACAACATCTTATTTATTTATTTATTTCAGACAGGGTCACACTCTGTCGCCCAGGCTGGAGTGCAGTGGTGCAGTCATAGCTCCTGCAGCCTCGAACTCCTGGACTACAGTGATCCTCCCACCTCAGCCTCCCAAGTAGTCGGGACTACAGGTGAGTGCCACCATGTCTGGCTATTTTAAATGTACAGTCCCAAGAGATTTGTGCAAATGTATAGACCTGTGTAACAATGACCATAGTCAAAATAAAGAACATTTCCACCCACCGAACACGGCTCCCTCGTGCCTTTTTGCAGTCAACCTCTCACCAGGAAACTGGTCCCAGGGAACTATTTGTCTGCTTTCAGTAACTATAGCTTTGTTTTGCCCTTTCTGGAATTTCATGTAAAGGGAATCATGCAATATGTACTCTTTTGTACCTGGCTGTCTTTGCGGAGCATCCTGTTCTTGAGAGTCAACCATGCTGTGTGTGTCAGTTATTTATTCCATAATACTGCTGGGAGTCATGGTGTGGATATCCCAAAATTTGTTTATTCATCTATTGATGGACATTGTACTTATTCCCAGATTTTGGTTATGATGAATAAAACTACTATGCATATTCCCGTACAGGTCTTTGGGTAGAAGTATGTTTTCTTTTCTCTTTGGTAAATACCTAGGAGTGCAATAGCTGGACTATATGGGCCATTTGCTTAACTTCATTCTGTCGCCCAGGCTGGAGTGCAGTGGCATAATCATGGCTCACTGCAACCTTGACTTCCCAGGCTCAAGTGATTCTCCCACCTCAGCCTCTGGAGTAGCTGGGACTACAGGCTTGCTTTACCACACCCAGTTAATTTTTGTATTTTTTGTAGAGCCAGGGTTTCACCATGTTGCCCAGATTGATCTCTACAAACAAAAAAATTAACTGGGCATAGTGGTGCACACCTGTAGTCCTAGCTACTCAGGAGGCTGAGGTGGGAAGATCACTTGAGCTCAGAATGTGGAGATTGCAGTGAGACAAGATGGCACTACTGCACTCTAGCCCAGGTGACAGAGTGAGACCCTGTCTCAAAAAACAAACAACCAACAACAACAACAAAAAAAAGCAAAAAAGAAATCAGATTTCTAGAAAAAAAAGAAATTGAATTTCTAATTCATAATGATGGCATATCTCACTGATTTAGGTAGTTTAAATTTTTCCTTAACAATTTTTTTTTTAGTTTTCAATTTACAGGTCTTACATATGCTTGTTAATTTTATTCTTAAGTATTCCATGGTCTTTGAAGCTATTATAAATGGTACTTTTTTAACAAAGTAAAAAATTTCAGGTAATTTGTTGTCAGCATGTAGAAATAGAATTGATACTTGTATATTGATCTTATAGGACTTTGCTAAATTGACTTATTAATTTCTAATAGCTTTTATGTAAGCTCCATATGTATATGATCTTGTCATCTGCAAATATAGGCAATTTGATTTTTTCTTTCAAATATGTATGCTTTTTATGTCTTTACCTCATTATTCTGGTTAGAATCTCCAGTATAACGTTGAATAGAAATGGAGAGGGGAGGTGGGGTATTTCACCATTAAGTAAAATGTTAGTTGTAGTTTTCTCATTGGGGCCTTTTATAAGGTTGAGAAAAATTCCTTCTATTCCTAGTTTGCTACAAATTTTTATTATAAATTTATGTTGAATTTTGTTCGAAGCATTTTTTGCATCTATTGGGATACTTATTTAGTTTTTATTTTTGTTCTGTTAAGATGGTAAATTACGTTAGTTGATTTTTGAATGTTAAACCAACCTTGCATTCCCTAGATAAATCCCATTTGGTCACATTGTATTATCCTTTCTATATATCGCTGGTCTTGAGTTGCTATTCTTTAAAAGAATTTTGCATCTCTGTTCATAAAAGATATTGGTCTGTAGTATTCTTTTCTTGTGATGTCTTGTTTTCAGGGTTATTTTGTCCTCATAAAATGAATTGCGAAGTGTTCCTTTTACTCTATTTTCGGAAAGAGCTTGTGTTTAAATGATATTATTTCTACCTCAAATATTTAATGGAATTCACCAGTAAAGCTCTGTAGGCATGGAGTTCTTTTTCTGTGGGAAGACTTTGAAAAATTCAGTTTATTGAATGGATATGGAGGTATTCAGATTTTCTGTTTCATCTTGTGTCAGTTTTGGCATTTCATGTCTTTTAGTAAATTTTTCTATTTCAGGTAAATTGTTGGATTTATTGGCATAAAGTTAATCATAACATTCTTTTACACTCCTCCTAAAATCAATATGTTTATAGTGATAGCCCTTCTTTCATTCCCGATACTGGTAATTTGAATCTCATTTATTTTTTAATCAGTCAAGATAGAAGTTTATTAATTTTAATACAAATATTATGTTTTTAAAAGACAAAAAGAAAAATATTTTAAATATTTTCATAGAACCATAGAACCATCTTTTGACTTCATTTTCTCTATTGCTTTTCTATTTTCTATTTTTATTGATTTCTGGTCTTGTCTTCATTATTTTCTTCTTTCTAATTGCTTTGAGTTTAATTTGTTTCAGTTTGTTGAGATGGGAGCTGATATGGTTTGGCTCTGTGTCCTTACCTAAATCTCATCTTGAATTGTACTCCAATAATTCCCACGTGTTGTGGAAGAGACCCAGTGGGTCCTGACCTCAAGTGATCCACCTGCCTCAGCCTCCCAAAGTGCTGGGATTACAGGCATGAGCCACAGCTCCTGGCCAAAAGCAAGAATATTTTCTGTTGTGGGATATATTGTTTTGCAAATGTCAGCTAGGTCAGGTTTGTTGTTAATGTTATTTGAGGCTTCTATATCCTTACAAATTTTTTATCTACTTCTTTTATCAATTGCTGAGAGAGGGCTGTTGAAATTTCCAAATATAATTGGGGATTTGACCATTTCTCCTTTTAGTTATGCCATATTTTCTTCATGTCTTTAGTATCATTGTTATTGGGTGCATACACATTCAGGATTATAATGTCTTCTTAATAAATTGATCCTTTATCATTATGAAATGTCCCTTTTTACTAATGGGCATATACTTTTTCATGATGTCTACTTCATCTAATATTAGTATAGCCATTCCAGCTGCTTCAGGATCAGTGTTTGCATGGTATATTTTTATTATTCATCTACTTGACCAATTTGTGTTTTTATACTTAAAGTGTCTTTCTTGTAGACAGCATATAGTTTGGTATTGCTTTTTTTTTTTTTAACTCTGTATGATAACCTCTGCCTTTTAATTGGAGAGTTTAGACCAGTGCTCATTAATGTGTAGTCTATGGACCCCTGGAAATCCAAAGGCCTTTCAGGGGTGTTTGTGAGATGAAAACCATCTTCATAATAATACTAGAAGTTTATTTTCCTTGTTCATGTAGGGACATTTGCAATAATTGTGTAAAAGTGATGGTGGAGAAAAACTGCCTTAGCATAAATCAAGGCGTTCACAACAAACTGTGGTGTAGTCAGTGCCATTCAACATGTACTTGCAAAAAAAAAAAATTCAAATTTCACTTAAAAATCTCTGGATCAAGGAGTGAAATATTAATTTTATTGAATATATGTCACTTAAATATTTGATTTATTGAGTTGGAAATACATATAAGGCACTTCTGCTGCATATTGAAGTATAACGTCCTGAGTAAAAGCATTTGTGGGATTATTTTAGTTGCAAGCTGAACTAGCCACTTTTTAAATGTTTAAATGAAACACCACTTTTACTTAAAAGGACAACTAACAAAATATGTTAATTCAAACTTGGATATATGGCAGCAATTTTCTCAAAAATCAATGTGGTGATCCTGACACTTCAAGGAAAATTACTGCTGTATTTTTTGCCAATGGTAACATTTGAGCTCTCAAGTAAAAATTCGAAGTTTGGAAAAATTGTACTTGTCACCATGAACTTGACAGCTTACAATAGATGAGATCAGTAGTGATATGAACAACTATATTTTTTCAATATTGTATAATGTAATATATCTACAAAACTCAGCAAGCCAATACTTTCCAAATGATGAACGCATGATGCCATGCAGGTAAAAGAACCATTCAAATTGCTAGATAGATAATTGGATTTTAATGTACTTAACAGTGAGAAGTTCAATTGATCCGATTTCATTTCCCACATTTTAACTAACATTTAAGCAACTACCACTTGCCAAGTTTTAGTATAGTATCAAAGATGAATATCCACATGTATACAAAAAAGATATTAACATATTCCTCTTTTTTCCACCTACATAACTGTGTGAAGCCAGATTATCTTCACATACCTCAACCAAAACAACATATTGCAACAAATTGAATGCAGAAACAGACAGGAGTATCCAGTTGTCTTACATGAAGCTAGACATTAAAGAAGTTTGCAAAAATGTGAAACAACATTGTTATTCTCCCTAAATATTTTTGTTTTGAAAAATATAGTTATTTGTCCAAAAAGTATGTTGTTTGTGTTGTGTTATTTTATTTTATTTTATTAATTAATTTATTTTTATCTTTTGAGATGGAGTCTTGCTCTGTCACCCAGGCTGCAGTGCAGTGGCGTAATCTTGGCTCACTGCAACCTCCGCTTCCCGGCTTCAAGTGATTCTTGTGCCTCAGCCTCCCGAGTAGCTGGGATTACAGGCTCCTGCCACCATGCCCAGCTAATTTTTTTGTAGAGACAGGGTTTCACTATGTTGGCCAGGCTGGTCTCGAACTCCTGACCTCAAGTGCTCCACCTACCTCATCCTCCCAAAGTGCTGGGATTACAGGCGTGAGCCACTGTGTCCAGCCTGTATGTCTTCTTTGAATCAAATGTTGTAACTGAATGTTTCTGGAGGAAAGAGATTTCTGGTTTTTTAAAATTTCATTATTTTTTAGTTGGATTGCATTATTGTCAGACAATTCTTTGGAATTTATTGAGGTTTTCTTTATGGCTTGATATGATCATTTTTCATGAGCATTGATGAGAATTTAAGAAGTAGGTAGTTTCTAGTATCGGGCTTGAGAGCACAATATATACCTGTACATCTACCTCATTGATTTTTGTATTCAGGTTTTCTGTGGCTTCACTAAAATTGTTATCCCTGTGATCTGTCTTGGTTTGAGAACTATGTTAAAATTTTCCATTATTTGTATGTTTCTTTTTTTATTATACTTTAAGTTTTAGGGTACATGTGCACAATGTGCAGGTTAGTTACATATGTATACATGTGCCATGTTGGTGTGCTGCACCCATTAACTCATCATTTAACATTAGGTATATCTCCTAATGCTATCCCTCCCCTCTCCCCCTACCCCACCACAGGCCCCGGTGTGTGTTGTTCCCCTTCCTGTGTCCATGTGTTCTCATTGTTCAATTCCCACCTATAAGTGAGAATATGCGGTGTTTGGTTTTTTGTCCTTGCAATAGTTTGCTGAGAATGATGGTTTCCAGCTTTATCCATGTCCCTACAAAGGACATGAACTCATCCTTTTTTATGGCTGCATAGTATTCCATGGTGTATATGTGCCACATTTTCTTAATCCAGTCTATCATGGTTGGACATTTGGATTGGTTCCAAGTCTTTGCTGTTGTGAATAGTGCCACAATAAACATACGTGTGCATGTGTCTTTATACCAACATGATTTATAATCCTTTGGGTATATACCCACTAATGGGATTGCTGGGTCAAATGGTATTTCTAGTTCTAGATCCCTGAGGAATGGCCACACTGACTTCCACAATGGTTGAACTAGTTTACAGTCCCACCAACAGTGTAAAAGTGTTCCTATTTCTCCACATTCTCTCCAGCACCTGTTGTTTCCTAACTTTTTAATGATTGCCATTCTAACTGGTGTGAGATGGTATCTCATTGTGGTTTTGATTTGCATTTCTCTGATGGCCAGTGATGATGAGCATTTTTTCATGTGTCTGTTGGCTGCATAAATGTCTTCTTTTGAGAAGTGTCTGTTCATATCCTTTGCCCACTTTTTGATGGGGTTGTTTTTTTTTCTTGTAAATTTGTTTGAGTTCATTGTAGATTCTGGAGCTTAGCCCTTTGTCAGATGAGTAGATTGCAAAAATGTGTATGTTTCTTAATTCTCCTTTTCTGCTGTATTCTATTGCTTCGGTTTCCTCTTTTTGGTTCCTATTATATGTATATTGGCTTTTGTCTATTTTCTATATCTATCTCTTTCTTTTAAGAATCTGCTAAATTTTTCTATTATTTGCATGTTTGTTAATTCTCCTTTTCTTTTCTGTGTTCCTGCTCTGTGAAAATCTGTGCTATTTTATTAGGTATATAACTATCAATAACTATTATATCTTCATTGTGACTATAGCCTTTAACACTATAAAGTGCTTTTAACATCACTTTTTATGCTATTTCATCCTGGATTTGACCTTGTAAGATCATGATTGTAGACCCTGTCATTTGGTCTCAGTTCTTCATGTGACTATTTACTTACATAGGGCTCAACACTAGTTCTTGTTTTGATGTTTCGCTAGTCTTTTTTATTTTTTGAAGCCCTGGTAGATTTTTCTGGACGTCCCTATGGGAATAGTATTATGTGAGTTCTTGCCTGTTTGTAGCAACTTACCTGTGACCTTCATACTTGAAATTAATTTTGCCTGGATATTAAATCCATGATTTACATTTTCTGCTGTAGAAAACTCTGATGACAATCTGCCTTTTATCCTTCCTTACAAGAGTCTTAGTTTTTTGTTTGAAGTCTGAAGCATTGTTTTTACAAAAAAAAATCCAACATTTTTACTAGTTGTGTACCCTTTCAATATATAGTTTCAAGTCATTTTTTATTTCAAAAAGTTTTTTTGAATTAAAGAAAACTTTTTTTTTTTGTTTTGTTTTTTTTGAGACAGGGTCTCACTCTTGTTGCCCAGGCTAGAGTGCAGTGGTGCAATCTCAGCTCACTGCAACCTCCACCTCCTGCCTCAGCCTCCCGAGTAGGTGGGATTACAGGCGCCCACCACCATGCCTGGCTAATTTTTGTATTTTTAGTAGAGATGGGGCTTCACCATGTTGGCCAGGCTGGTCTCGAACTCCTGACCTCAAGAGATCCTCCTGCCTCGGCCTCCCAAAGTGCTGGGATTACAGATAAGAGCCACCGTGCTGTGCCTTGAATTATAATTTTTAATATTTATTCTGTTCTATTGTTTTCATTTTCTCTTTCAGGTTCCTGTTACATGAATGTTAGCCTTTTGTTTATCTTCTTTGTCTTTCTTTCAAATTCTTATCTTTTCCTTAATGTGTTTTTTTATTATTATTTTTTAAAACTTTTCCATTTCCATTTTCTATTTCTCTTAAAGCATATGTGTGTTCCTTCTGGTTTTGTTTTTATTTCTAAAATTATTTTTATTTTTTCTAATTCTTTCTTGAGTTCTGTCACCTGTTTTCTTAAATATTTGTTTTCAATAATTATCTGATTTTTTCAATTTTGCTGATTTTGATATGTGTTGTCATCTAATAATTTTTACCATGCTTTTATTTTTTTAGTTTTTAAAAATATTAAATTATAATTTTCGTGAGTTTTTTTATGGGCTCGTTTTTCTGGCATGATTTTATTATCTACAGGCATGTTATTCTACTCTTGTTTTCTTTTTTTCTTATAATAACTTTGTAAGAAATTTCACTGTAATCTTTTTTCCTATACTTTTAGGAGAAGTGCAGAAGATATTTTCTTGCTCTATAGATCTAAAAAATCTGTGTGGGGTTTTTTTCCTCCAAAGTGACCAAAAGTAATTTCTAAGATTTGTTTCCTTTTTCTCCTTACTTTGCTTTCCAACTTTTAACTAGATCTTCTCTTTATTTGCCCTTGTAGTTCAAATCCTGCCTAACCTGGATTCTCTTTTCAGTAGTTTGCCCTCAGTGCAGAATTTTGTCTTGTAGAGGAGATTTAATTTGTTAATTTTGAGAGTTTATGAGACCCCGACTGCTCCATTTGATCTTTTCTATCATTAGGCCTGATTACAACATGGTCCCTGTGAATTTGCCCATAAGTTTTATCCTGCAGACCCCCCTGTCAGTTTCAGCCATTGTTCTCAGATGAACTTGCACGTTGTAGTGAGTACCACATGGTGACTTTTGTTGCTGTCATGATCTCAAGGCCATTAGAGGATCATTGGTCATTACTTTTTTCCTCCAATGCAAATACTGATACTGCTCACATCCTGTAGGTGAGGGTGTTGTGTACTTGGGGGACCACAAAAATACTTGTCACCTAGAGTTATTGTGAGAGATCACTCATGAGTCTTCTGTTTCGCTATCTTAGTTGCTGTTTATGTTTTTCGGGGAATTTAAGGAGATTATACTGTCTTGGATGCCTCCTTCTTACTAATCCTTTTTGATGCCCAATTTGTGCCATTTTTAACCTGTGGAAATACATTTGGTTAGGCTTCTGTTTCCTTTAGACATGATCCCATTAGTTCTGCATAGTTTTCTTACTTTATGGCACAAAAAGACACTCAAGGCTTATCTTAGTCATCGCCTGCTCCAGTCTTTGAATGAACATTTCTACAAAGAGCTTCCATTCCTTTTATCCATCAGACTTTTAGTTTATCTATCTAAGCTGTGAATCATTATCTTTATTTTTTATTTTTTTTGGGGGGGGTTGGGGGTGGACAGGGTCTGGCTCTGTCACCCAGGCCTGAGTGCAATAGTGCAATCGTAGCTCACCACAACCTCAAGCTCCTGGGCACGCACCATCATACTTGGCTATTTTTTTTTTTTTTTTTTTTACTTTTTGTACAGATGGAGTCTCACTGTGCTGCCCAGGCTGGTCTTGAACTCCTGGCCATAAGCAATCCTCCTGCCTCAGCCCCCCAAAGTATTGGGATTACAGGAGCATGAGCCACTGCACCCAGCTAAATCATTTCCTTTAAAAACCTAAGCAAAGCATTGGAAAAGAGCCATCTGAAATTTTCAAGAAAGGGAAAAAATAAAGAATTTTACAAAACCCCCAAAACCTAAGCAAGTCCTCTTCAAGAAGGTTCATAATTGTAGAAACTCTCTCAGTTAAAGCCACTGTACCTTGACCAAAGAAAAGTGTTATATCAAAGAGAAAGGGGAAAACCATGATATAATGGAGCCAGAATTGTACTTGAAACCCAGGTGAAAATAAGGATTCATCAAGTAATGCAATACAAAGTGAAAGAAAAACAAGAAGGAAGGAAAGAAATTAATTTTCACTCAGTGTCTGTCATTTATCAGGTAGAGAGTTGGGGTTTTCACATTACCTTGTTTGACCCTTAGAAAAACTCAGAGGGCATGTAAAGTATAACTATCCCAATTTTACAACTACAGAAACAGAAGTTCAGGGAGTTTACTCAAGGTCATCCCACCAATACACAGACTGGGTAATACAGTAGAGGTACAGAAATATTCTTGTCCTAAATTAGTGGCTTCAAAAATCATTAAAACAAAACAAAACACCTAAAGGTTGTAGTAATTTTACCAGTAAATAGATACATACATACATACATAAACACACATATATTTTCAAATTTTGAAACTTTTTATTTTTGGAATAATTGTAGAGTGACAGCAAATTACAATGATGTTTCAGAGAGGTCTTCTGTATTCATCACCCAGTTTTCCCCATTGGTTACATCTTATGTGACAATAGTACCATAGCAAAACCAGGAAATTGACACTCTCATAACGTGCATGTATAGTTCTATGTCATTTTATTACATATGTAGATTCATATAACCACCATCAGAATCAAGATACAGATCTATTTAATCACCATAAAGATCTCCTTTGTGCTACTGGTTTATAGTCACACACACACCCTGCCTCTCAACTATCCATAACCCCTGTCAACCATTAATTTGTTCTTCATTGCTATAATATTTTTTCATTTTGAGAATATTTCATGAATAGAATCATGAAGTATTCCATTTGAGATTATTTTTTTCCCACTCAGCATAATGCTTTTGAGATTTATCCAAGTTGTTGCATGTGCTAATAGTTTGTTCCTTTTTATTGTGGAATCGTATGCCATGGTGTGGATGTATCACAGTTTATTTAACTCTTTACCTATTGTAGAACATTTTGATTGTTTCCAATTTGGGGCTATTAAAAAATCCAGTTGCTATGAATAATCATGTATAGGTCTTTGTGTGGATATAAGTTTTCATTTCTCTGAGATAAATACTCAGGAGTGCAATTGCTGAGTCACAGAGTAAATGTATGTTTAGATTTTAAAGAAACTGCTAAAGTATTGTCCAGAGTGGTTGTCCTATTTTACATTCCCATCCGTAATGTAAATGTATGAAAGATCCATCTTCCCTGTGTCCTTGTCAGCATTTGATGTTGTCACTATTTTTCATTTTAGCTGGTCTAATAGATATGTAGTGATAGCACATTGTGGTCTTAGATTCCATTTCCCTAACAGCTAGTGATGTTGACCATCTTTTTATGTACATATTGCCATTCACATATCCTCTTGAATGAAATGTATTGTCCTTTGTCTACTTTCTAATTGGATTTTTTGCTGTTGTTTGGTTTTGAACTGTTGAGTTTTTAAAGAACTGATAGTCCTTTATATACTCTAGGTACTAGTCCTTTGTCAGATACATGAGTAAAGGAGATACAGAGAGAGAGAGAGAGAGAGAAAGAGAATGCTGTAAGGAAAATAGATGTGCTTTAGTCAAGAATAGGTCAAGGCAGACATCTGGGCCAGTGTGACTCAGCAAGTTTGGAGCACAGGCACCCAACTGCACTCATTATATAACCTGTTTATGTAAGCTCATACTTACTCTGGGCCACTGTTGTCTGTAAAAGGTATAACTGCCCTGCTGACACTGTACATACGGCTCACACCCAGAGAGAGGAGTGAAGCTGCTAACCCTATAAGGAAAAGCCGTAGGGGTGGCAGGAGCCGCAGAGCCAGCTGCTGAGAAGGGCTGCAGCCGGATCGGGCAGCCGAGACAAAGGCTGGCAGAGAGAGAACATAATAAAAGCCATATTTCACCTGCCTATGGCCCCCTTGAGTGTTCTTTCAGCTATCCACTACCCATCCACCCACTCCCCTCGGACCTCAGCATAGGCTGGAACCTGACACTTGGCAGGACACATGCACATGTGCTAGTTCTCTGATGTCCTTTCTCTTTTTTCTTGAGACAGGGTCTTGGTCTGTTGTGCAGGCTGCAGCCTCGACCTCCTGGGCTTAAAGTGATCCTCCAACCTCAGTCTCCCAAGTAGCTGGTACCACAAGTTTGGTGTGCCACCAAACCTAGCTAATTAAAAAAAAATGATTCTTTTTGTAGAGACAGTATCTCCCTAGGTTTCCCAGGCTGGTCTCAAACTCCTGGGCTCCAGCGATTCTCCTGCTTCAGCTTTCCCAACTGCTGAGATTACAGGTGTGAACCACTGCGCCCGGCTTGGTGTCCCCTTTTATAAGGAGACTAATCCTGTCATATCAGAGGCCCACCATTATGACTTCATTTAACCCTAGTTACCTTTTTATGGGTCTCATCTGCAAATACAGTCACTTTGGGTGTTAGGGCTTCAACACGGGAATTTTGTGGGGACACAGTTTAGTCCATAGCATGATGGATGATCATGGAAGCCCTGAATCTCCTCTACTGGCCTCTAGGCCTCCCCTGACATAACTCCAGAGGAGAAAGGGAGGAGCGTCTCATTCCACTGAGTCAGGGTGATCTTTATCGACTCCTAGTGTCACAAAGATGTTGGGGACGGTTACTCTTGTGAGTATGCATTAGGTTTTATGGGACTCTACCTTATCAGAATGGATGAGGTACCCTGCTGCCCTTGAGAGGCAAGGTATCATGTCGTGAAAAGGCCGGTGAGGGGGCCACATGGCAAGGAACTGTGTATGGTCTCTAGGAGTCATGAGTGGCTTTGCTGAAAGCCAGCCCCAGTCCTACAGCTTTAAGGAATGAGAGTGTGCCAGCAACCACATGAACTTGGAAGAAGGTCCTGAGTTTCAGAAAGGAATGCACCCCACCTGATGCCTTGATGGCAGCCTAGACCCTGAGGAGATGACTCAACTAAGCTATGCCAGACTCCTGACCTACAGAAACTGTGAGATAATACATGTATGTTGTTTTAAGCCATTGTTGTGGTAATTTGTTACAGTGTGATAGAAAACTAATACAACACTCCAATTTCCATGACTTTCCTTTGTATCTGTGATCTACTTATCCCCCACCCTACACACTGCACCCATGACATAAAAAGTGGTAAATATAAACATTTTTTTGGACATGCTTAATAATTTGTCTATAGCGAATGCTGACAAAAACTTGATATATTTCTTGCCATATGAAGTAAGTGAGCTTACTGGAGAATAGTCTCTTCTGCCAAAAGTTGCAGGAAACAACAAAGGGTAATAAAATTTAATATCTGAGGAGATGGTAACAGATGGACTGTAGGCTTTTAAAAAAATGAATATTGGAATCTCTAAGGTGAATGAATCTTTTATGACTAAATATGGAAGACAGGTTTTATAAGTATACAGCAAAAAAATAAAATAACCAAGCAAAGTTGAACTATCATGAAAAAGATGGAAAATAAAAAGTTAAAAAGGCACAAATCTATGATTAGCATAAAAAGTACATCTGTGCCAAGAAGTTAATCGAATAATAAAATAAAACAATTTTAATAAGAAAGATCGTAATAATGAAATGTCTCATGTTAAGAAACATGAAAACCAGGATACAATCAGTATGGAGCAAATAACGATAATGCTGGCATGGGTGCTAAAATACCACCAAAGAAACAAGTTTTCAGTCCAGAAGCACAAACATGTCAGTCACTTCTTGCCCGTTTCAAAATTCCAAAAGAAGTTGGGTCCAAGATACAGCATGAGTTTCATGCTAGCCAAACATCATATTATTTTCTCCTCAATTAAATCTTCTCGGTGAGCTACAAATGTTTCTTTTGTCACTAACCACTCCAGGTGGGCCTTGTTAGCTCCCAGTTTATTGCCAGATTGCTAAGCCCACTGCTAAACTGAGTGCTGTCATTCCCTCGTCTTCCCACATTTGCTACCTCCACGCTCTTAAATCACAACTGCTTAACACTCCCACTCTTGCCTTATACTTCCACCTCCTCGTGTGCTTCCACATGGCCCTAGATGGTGGAAACAAAATTCTCTTATCCATCTGACATCACCTTTTTCCTACGTATTCCTTCAAAAAAGCTCACCTCTTCTGAGGAGGTGATTCTGAAATGATTTTAATGACAAATTTAAGTAGCACAGAAGCTACTAACAAAAATAGTCTCTCTTTGATCTCAATGAGATCCATACTTCCCTCTTTAAGTGCAACCTCCTCTTTTCCATATGCCCTGGGTCTTGACTGCCATGCAAATATGAATTACAAGCCCAAGAGGCAGAGATGAAAGCCATGAGAATAAGTGCTAGGTAGTGTCTCCTGTTGTTAGAGAAGAACAAACATAAATTATAGTTGACTGGTAAAGACATTATTGGGAACAGAGCCTCTAGTTTTGAAAGTTACATTAGTCAATTGATTCAATCACTAATTCAATAAGTGCTTCTTGTGTGCTGATTATGTGCGAGGTATAGCTTTGTGCTATGTGTACACTGAGGGGAAACAGAACTACCAGTGTAGGAAGTGATCAAGATTAAAAAGAAGCAAAAATACAAGCTGTGATAGCTTTCTCGAATAAAATAAAGAGAGTTCAACAATGTGGAACAAGATAGGAAGGGAGCAAGGTAGTCATGGAATGTAACAATTAATTTTATGTGTCAACTTGACTGGGCGAAAGGATGCCCAGGTAGCTGGTCAAACGTAATTTCTGGGTGCGTCTATGAGGATGCTTCTGGAGGAGATCAGCATTTGAGTTGGTAAACTGAGTAAAGAAGATTTGCCCTCACCTGTGCAGGTGGGCATTATCCAATTCACTG
This sequence comes from Homo sapiens, assembly GCF_000001405.40. Taxonomy (NCBI): domain Eukaryota; kingdom Metazoa; phylum Chordata; class Mammalia; order Primates; family Hominidae; genus Homo; species Homo sapiens. Next base: position 243,885,663 of record NC_000001.11, read on the forward strand.
AGGACCCAACAGAGTAAAAAGGTGGAGAAAGAGTGAATTTGCTCTCTCTTCTTGAGCTGGAACATTCATGTTTCCTAACCTTGGTCATTGGTGCTCCTGGTTCTCTAGCATTGGACTTGGACTGGGACAAACATTGGCTGCCCTGGTTCTTGGGGCTTTGGGTTTGGGTTCAAACTATACCACTGACATTCCTGGGCTTCCAGCTTGCAGATGGCAAGTTGTGGAACTTATCAGCTTCCATAATCACCTGAGCCAATCCCTCATAATAAATTATCTATCTATCTATCTATCTATCTATCTATCTATCTATCTATCTTTCTAATCTCTCTCTGTTATCTATCTCATCTATCATTTATCCTATCTATCTATCTATCTATCTATCTATCTATCTATCTATCATGTGTCTATCTATCTCCTGTTGGTTCTACTTTTCTAGAGAACCCTGGCTAACCTCACTAAAATTATTTTTAATGACATTCTTGTTATGTGCCTTTAAAAATTTTCTTTCTTTTCTTTTCTTTTTTTTTTTAAGAAACGAGGGTCTCACTGTGTTGCCCAGGCTGGTCTTCACCTCCTGGCCTCAAGCAGTCCTCCAGCCCCAGTCTCCCAGCGTGCTGGGATTATAGGCATAAGCTACCATGCCCTGCCTCTATGTGTCTTGTTTGAGCTCTGCTCTTTGTCTCTCTGTTCTTCACAACTTTCATTCATTTTCCACTTTCACATTTCTAACCCATGTTAGTTTCCTTTCCTTTTTGCTCCTCAGAAGACAGTACCTACCTGCTGCTTATATTTCAAAAAAGGAGGTAAATTTGTACCGTGTGATCCTGGACAGAGTGGGCTCTGGGGTCAGATCTCCTGTGGCCTGGAATTCTGGCTCTGCTGCTTGCCAGCTGTGCAAACTCGTGCAAATTTCCTTTTAGTTTCCTGAGATATAAAATGATGATAACTATGGTTCCTAGATTCTGAGGTAGTTGAGAGAATTAATTAAAATACAACATGCAAAATAATTAATACAGTGTCTGCCATATAGCAAAAACCAACGGATGTTAGCTGTTCCTGTTACTTCATCTTGCCTGCGTTTAAGATAAGCTGTCTTTACAGGTATGAGTGTGTGTGGACGGGGTGCAGATTTATGGTACTTCGGCCCCCGAAGAGCCAAGAATCCCATAAGCATAATTAACTGAGTTAAAAACATTATTAATTTTAATCACATATATTTTTATACAAATATATTTCTCAATTGCAAGGGCTTTGCACATGTGTCGAAGAATAGTATAGTCAGTTGGACTACAGCAGAGTAAAATGTAAAGAAATATAAATACCTAGGCAAATACAGCACCTTTACAATTAATCTATTTGTAATCACGGTTTCCTCCAGCCCCAATTTTCCTGTAGAATTTGCAACAAGCAATAGAAGGAAGGAAATCGAACTCAAGGATCCTTAACTCTTCTGGAGTCGGACCACTTCTAGGAGAGTTCTGAGACTTTAAGCCAGGTTGGCATTAAAAGGTTTCTGGGTTACAAGACTCAGCTACTCTAATTAAGAGGGGACTTTATCATTCTCTTTGATTCCACCGCACTCATCTGCTTAGGCTTGCGTGAAATATACTTGGGCTTCTACGCAGCTCCTGAACTTTGGTGTTTAAGTCCCCGTAGACTCTTGTGCTCTCAATCTCCACGTTGCTTCGCTACTAAACTGATTCCCTGAGGATTTTTAGCGTCTTTCCCTTCAAACTTCAACTTTTCTCTTCAAGAAAAGATTATGGCCACACTATTAATCTAATTTTGGTGCTTTTTTTTTTTTTTTTTTTTGAGACGGAGTCTCGCCCTGTCGCCCAGGCTGGAGCGCAGGGGCGCGATCTCGGCTCACTGCAAGCTCCGCCTCCCGGGTTCACGTAGCTGGGACTGCAGGCGCCCACGACCACGCCCGGCTAATTTTTTGTATTTTTAGTGGAGACGGGGTTTCACCGTGTTAGCCAGGATGGTCTCGATCTTCTGACCTCGTGATCTGCCCGCCTCGGCCTCCCAAAGTGCTGGGATTAAAAGGAGTGAGCCACCGCGCCTCGCGTTTTTTTTGTTGATTGTTGTTTGTTTGTTTGTTTTTTACCTAAAAGTTTATTTATCGTTAGCCCAGCTGCCTCTCTTGTTCATAACTCTTCGCCCCTTAAAACTAGAGGCGGCTGGGCGCGGTGGTCACGCCTGTAATCCCAGCACTTTGGGAGGCTGAGGCGGGTGGATCACAAGGTCAGGAGTTTGAGACCAGCCTGGCCAATATGGTGCAAACCCCGTCTCTACTAAAGATACAAAAATTAGCAGGGCGTGGTGGCGGGCACCTGTAGTCCCAGCTACTCGGGAGGCTGAGGCAGGAGAATGGCGTGAACCCACGAGGCGGAGCTTGCAGTGAGCTGAGATTGCGCCACTGCACTCCAGCCTGGGCAACAGAGTGAGACTCCATCTCAAAAAAACAAACAAACAAAAAACAAACTGAAGGCTTATAATTTCTAGTGTGTGCACAAGTCACTCAACAGCCATTCCCTCATGCTTTTGGAAAGCCTTTACCGTGATGCTGTTTACACAGCCACCTCTATACTGAGGCATCTCTCTGAAAATAGAGACCATGTCTTCTTCAGTCACCACAGCACTTACAACAGTGCTGGACACATAGCAGGTGCTCAAGAAGCTTTGCTGAATAAAGAAAGAAACAATGCTTAAGTGTGTTCATATACTTGCTGCCGTCTATAATAAGGGCATTTCCTTAACATAGAGTCAGACCTGCTACGCCAATCTAATTGTGTGTAAAATTTGACGAGGTCTAAAAAAGACATATAAATGGCTTCACTGTATGTATAGTTTAGTAGATGGTATTTAGATAAGCAGCACAGACTTTCTTTCTTAAAGGTTGTGTTAAATATTGAAACGGTTCTCAAGTGTGGCAAGAGAAGGTGCTAGCCTGTCTGTAGTCCTGAGTAAATCAAAATATACTTCACTATTTGTATGTCTGGATTATCTATCAAGGTCCATTCCATGTCTGTGACCTAATATTGGATTGTGCATGTATAAATATTATAGCATACTGAAGAGTGGAATCACATACGGAGAAAAACTATTAACAAGATCTAGGCAGAAAATTAATAAACCTTAATAAATATTTTAAAAATACAGTCCATCTGGGAAAAACATAAATTTTATTTTTATTCATTAGGGTGATCCACTCACTGACTCATTGTTCTAACTTCCTTTACTAATTTGGAAAAATTAGTCACTCTAGGTGGTGATGTGAATGTTGCAACTAAAGATTTCTTACATTTTCAATTTGCATAATTTGTGAATTCTACCTATAAATACTAGTAGTTTCCTCAAAGTTGGAAATTACATAATAACAAAAGAAAACTCAAACCAACTATTAGGGTAACGTGTAGAAATTTCTTTTAAAGCCTGGCCATGGTGGCTCACGCCTGTAATCCCAGCATTTTGAGAGGCTGAGGCAGGAGGATTGCTTGAGGCCTGGAGTTTGAGACCAGCCTGCGCAACATAGCGAGACCCCATCTCTACAAAACATTTAAAAATTAGCTGGATGTGGGCCGGGCACGGTGGCTCACACCTGTAATCCCAGCACTTTCGGAGGCCAAGGCGGGTGAATCATGAGGTCAAGAGTTCAAGACCAGCCTGGCCAACAGGTGAAACCCTGTCTCTACTAAAAATACAAAAATTAGCCAGGCATGGTGGCTCACACCTGTAATCCCAGCTACTCGGGAGGCTGAGGCAGGATAATTGCTTGAACCTGGGAGGTGGAGGTTGCAGTGAGCTGAGATCATGCCACTGCACTCCAGCCTGGGTGACAGAGCAAGACTATCTCAAAAAAAAGAAAAGAAAAATCAGCTGGGTGCGGAGGTGCGCAACCGTAGTCCCAGCTACTTGGGAGGCTGTCGCAGGAGGCTGGTTTGAGCCCAGAAGCCTGAGTTTTCGGTGAGCCAGGGCAACAGAGTGAAACCTTGTCTCAAAATAAATAAATAAATACAATTCTTTCAAAGATCTTAAACAGAAAGTTTTATTTGAAATGAATCCAAGAATAAGAGGCAACTTTTGGACTAAGTAGTGTCTTCCTTAACAACGTTTTATATCAACATCCACACTTTTAGTAAAACGTTTACCTCTTCCCCTCATTTGCCCTCCCCAAAATAGACTTCACAGGAAAAAGAGTATTCTAGAAACACCCTGCCCTTTTCACACTTCCTAGGGGTTACTTTCTTTCTCTTCCTGCTATAATTTTATGCAAACAGGTAGTACTTATTCCAAGACAGAGGCGATAGCTTCCCATATACTTGTTTTTCCTTTGAACAGGTATTCCCCTTAACGTAGCCTTACTTGGGAGTGAGATGGGGTGGGGTAGGGTAGGTTCTAGTTAAAGCTCTTCCTATAAGTTTTGATGGTTGAAATATTTTTTCCTAAACGTTCTATCACAAAGATTCCAGAATATTCTTCTTGAAAACCGTACTAAAGCTATCCAATACTATTATTGCCTCTCAGAAGCACTTACTATCCAGAATATCACTGTGGAAAGGAACAGAGAGAGAAAGGACAGAGAGGCAAGTTTCACAGAGCAAGTGAGGTACTCAGGAGGTTGGGTTTCTGGTAGAAAAAGGAACAGGTAGAAATTTTAGACACATCATTGTATTGTGTCTGAGCATTCGGTTCAATGTATAAGGCTGCTTGGTGCACGGTTATTTATCTCCACTGAATCTAACAGAAGAAAGCTTTTTGGACTCCTTGCATGTGGAGTGGTAGTATTATGGAGTCTGCAGCAAAGGACTTGTTTACAAATCTTTTGAAGATGCTGTGGGTTTGCAGTGAGCCGCATCGCATTTTTTCTCTGAGGGGCTTTAAAGATGTGCAGCTGAACTCCTGAGTGAATTTTTCAATGGTGACTGCCTTTCTCTGTGAGGAGAGACCGTATATGGCAGAGCCACAGTGTGAGTTACAGTCTCTGAAAAGTCCATTGCCAAGAGGCACCTTGCTCCAAATTCCCTGGATTCAGATTTTAGTGCAGAGAGGAATGCTGGAGAACGCATGAGTCATGATGTACTCTTAGTAATTTTGCTAGAACATCAGGAAAGAGGTGCTTGGTATTGCATACTGCTTGCATCTGGATGGAATTAGAGCTTTTAGCTTTTCCTCAAGAAGGGCTTATTAATAGCAGAGGACTGAAGTAATAAGTGTGTTCCATGTATAGCACTTGAGGAAATGAGCAATGCCAGAGAAGGTTTATCAGGACTCACTGTTAGTTCTTTCTCTACCCCTGGGGAAGCAGATCTATTGATCAGATTCTTGCAGAAAAACAGCCTGTAATGGGTTTACTGTGCTGAGATATCATAGACCAGGAGTGTCTTTTATGATAGCCCAGAAACTATCCTGCCAGAAAGACTTGAAGGGCTGCTGACCTGCGTGGCAAAAGGAAGGCTGTGTAACACACAGGGAAAGTAAAAGATGTCAGGGTTGATTTCTGGTTTAAATTCTCTTAGCCTGGTAAGTTAAAATCACTGGCTTTGGATACATCTTACTCAAAATCATTTCATTTCAAACATAAGGGGTCATTGATGAAAATCACCTTAAAGGTTAACCACCTTTTCTTCCCCATCCCCACCAGTAAATCTACAGCACTGTGAAATAGATCAGAAATTAAAACCCCTTTGTGCAGCTATGAAATTGGAAATGAACTACGCAAGTGCTTAAAGATAGCAGTAACTCAATAACAAGCTAAGCGGGCACAACATAAGCCACACTATGTTTGTATATGTGCGTAGAAGCTATAACATTTTGGTTTTTCCTTGACTGAACCCATGCATATGGAAACACACAAGTGGATATAAATCCAGAAAATAAATGTGTTGGCTCATATAATTGAAAAGCTCAGGGAGCTAGCTTCAGGCTGAGCTGGATCTAGCAACTTGATGTTATCAGGATTCTCTTTCTCCATCTTTCAGCTCCGCCTTACTCTGTACTGGCTACATTCTCAGGAAGGTCTCCCCATAATGGTTTCTAGCAGTTACAGGTTTACATTCTTAACTTGGTAAGAATGTAAAAGAAACCAAGTTTATCTCTTTCAGTAATTTCAGCCACAGTCCTGGAACTAAATTTCATTAGCCTAGCTTGGGGTTAGGGCCCATCCCTGAACCAATTATTGCAGCCATGGGTGATGGAATGTGCCTGGTTGATCTGGTCTGAATTGTGCACTTCCCTTGCCCCCGCCCCAGCCCTCCCCAGGCTAAATGGACTGAGAGTGGGTGAGAGGGGCTTTTTTCAAAGGAGATCAGTGTACTGTTATCAGAAGAGGGAAGCAACAGGTTTACACTTCAATTGGTCAATATTTGGGGTATATTTAGGGACATGAAACTCTTTTTTTTTTTTTGAGATAGTACTTTACACCCAAATATAAGCAGCCCCCAGAAGAAGCTATATATTTATTCAAATCATGTTGTCTTTGGCTCAACATATTTTTGGAAGTCCTTTTTTGAATTGCCTCCTGAGTCAGTTTAAAAACAATAAAATAAAATTTTGTCTTGTTGGTGTGTACAATTATATAACATTTTACCATGAAATACCCAACCATATTAAATAGATTAGGATTCTTTCCCACTGTTTGAGAATAAATATGCAAAATAATGTGAAAGAAAATTCCAAGAATGGAATTTTTAAAATGACACGAATAGAAGAATTGTTGGATTAAAATAGACCCTACTTTGAGAGGGACAATACTCATTTGCATAGATAAGCTATCTTAACATGTGGTCCCTGCCCTTAAAGAAAGCTTAGCTTTACTGTGGTGCTAACTGTGAGTGCCAAGGGAGCCAGAACTTTGATGAACTTCTTTCTGAGATTGAATTTCTTCCTGTGTATTTGGAAGATGGAATGGTTAAATATCAAGGAGCAACTTGTATACCAGCAGAAGCATCGAAAGCAGTGTGCTCCCCCATCCTCAATAATGCCAAGATTTGGAGAAGGGTGCTCCTGAGCAGATGGTTTGACAGACTAAAGCATTAGTTTGCTGAGCCTCCGTGCTTGATAATTAATTCTTCAGTTTACTAGGATTTAAAATGATTGTTCAAAACAAGACATCCCTTAAAATAAATGCTAGGTGAAAGTCTCAACACGGTATTGATTATTAAGGTGGTTATTTCAAACAGATGAGGGTTGTCATTAAATAACAGAATTGCCTTACCTGCTCTGTTGGTTTAATTAAGCTGTTTTCAATTTGTAAAAAAAGATTATCTACAGTTTTAATATTTGTATTCACCTGGATTGTATTTTTTCAATTTTCTAGTTAAAGCAATAAATGGAATTCTATGGTAGATTTCATTTTACAATTCAGATAAATAATGTAGTTAACATTTATTATCGGGAAAGCAGACTTTGCAGGACTGTGGCTTGAATAGCCTGAGTATTAAGAATTAAAAGTTGTAAATTCTAGTTTTGACACAGCTGCTTTCTACGTTACCACATATCGCCTGATTTCTGTGTATTCCTTTACCCCTGGAAAGAATGAGAACTGAATACTGACCTGTCTCACATAGTGCAATGAAACTTAACAATCTATTATGAAGGATATTGAGATCATGTGATATTTTTACTCTATAAAAGCCTTAGGCTTCAGATTTATTTATTTATTTATTTATTTGAGACAGAATCTCACTCTGTTGCCCAGGCTGGAGTGCAGTGGTGAGATCTCGACTCACTGTAACCTCTGCCTCCTGGGTTCAAGCAATTCTCCTGCCTCAGCATCCCGAGTAGCTGGGATTACAGGCACCCACCAGCACATCCGGCTAATTTTTGTATTTTTAGTAGAGACGGGGTTTCACCATGTTGGCCAGGCTGGCTTTGAACTCCTGACCTCAGGTGATCCGCCCACCTCAGCCTCTCAAAGTGCTGGGATCACAGACGTGAGCCACCATGCCCGGCCTTCAGATTTTTATTATATAGAATTCTTAAAATGTATTAAAGGCATGTTTGGGTGGGTTCTTTTTATAGTGGCATCCTGATATTGAAACTGAGTGTGTGCAAATATGAGCCCTGCAACTATTTATTTAGAGCAGTTGAAGGAATCTCAAGAGCATTTTTGTAATAAGACAGGCTCTCCGCACATATATTATTCCCTTAGAAAAACGAGCACGTTTTGAAAGATTTAATAATTTGCACAGGTTGCTAGGTCATTGTTATCATTTGAAAAAGAAGCACCATCATCTAAAGGCCTGAGAGCTGAAAGAATTCAGGACACAATCAATTTTTAAAAAATAGCATCAGACGCACATCATAAAAATAGGTTAGTGTGCCCGGGGAATGGGGAGATGTTGGTCAAAGGGTAGGAAGTTTCAGTTAGAGAGTAAGTTCCAGAGATCTATTGTACAGCATAGTGACTCTAGCTAATAATGATGGATTGTATCCTTGAAAATTGCTGAGAGGAGATTTTAAATGCTCTCATCACACATGCAAAAAAGTATGTGAGGTGATGGATGTGTTAATTATCTTGACGTAGTCATTGCACAATGTGTAAGTATATCAGAATATCAGGGTATACACCATAAATATATACAGTTTTTTCTGAGACGGAGTCTTGCTCTGTCACCCAGGCTGGAGTGCAGTGGCGCAATCTCGGCTCACTGCAAGCTCCACCTCCTGAGTTCAAGCGATTCTCCTGCCTCAGCCTCCGGAGTAGCTGGGACTACAGGCATGTGCCACCATGCCCAGCTAATTTTTTGTATTTTAGTAGTGACAGGGTTTCACCATGTTGGCCACGATGTTCTCGATTTCTTGACCTTGTGATCTGCCCACTTTGGCTTCCCAAAGTACTGGGATTACAGGCGTGAGCCACTGCCCCTGGCCACAGTTTTTATTTGACAATTAAAAAAAACATTATCATAGGGAGAAAATAGGTTAGTAGGTATAAATGAAGTTGAGATACATCATCTCCTTCTCTTCCTACTCCATTTTTCATTGTCATGAGCATTTCCCTTTGGGAGGGATCTTTAGAGGACATTTGTAAAAGCAGTTGCTTGTGCTCTCTTAATCTGGGAAAGTGGGAGTGGGAATCTCGTGAGACTATCAAAGTCCTAATTGGAGCTAGGGAGGAGAATCTTTATTACTCTTTATTAAAGAAAATGGATATAATGTTTATAATTTTAATAAAGCTTGTGTTCTAGTAACTTACGAAAACTATTAGAAAGTTGGGTTATCCATAAGCAACTAGCAAGCCACATGCTATTATCATGTTCTAAAACACTAAATTTGCCTCTCAACTATTCAACACTTTTTTTTAATGTTCACTGTATACTGAATAAGAAAAAACCCTGATGCTTTAGAGTTTTATTGTACAGGATTATTAAAACTTATTAAAGAGGCTTTTCATTGGGTTCTTTTTATTTTGAAATTTTGTTACTGCGACTGGGCATGTTTGATGCTGTTTGCTTAAGTCTCAAGCTCTGACCTGCCTTGTTTGATCACCTGCTGAACTGAATGTCTTGCATGTACCTCATACTTCACCTGGCCAAAAGAGAATTCTTCATCTTCTTCTCAAACATGTTCTTTACCCAAGATTTCTCTTTCTCAAAATAACATCACCATCCACCCTGTTGCCCAAATCAGAAACCTAGAAATTATTCTTGATACCAGTATCTCTCAACCCTACTACATCAGCCAGAGTTCTATCAGAGAACAGAACCGCCAAAAGATTTGTGTGTGTGTATTTTACATATATATTAATTTATTGATAGATTTAAGTAGAAAGCACACACGTACATACACACATGTTAAAGGACTTGTTACAGGGACTTGATCTTACATAGTGTTATGGTTATGCTTCTCTGAAAGGCTATTCTCTTTGCATTTGATGTTGGAACTTAAAGTCCTCTAAATGGGCAGTCAAAAGGGAAAGGTAGATGTAAAGAGGACAACAAAAATAGCCTGGGACCCATAAACGTGAGCTGGAGCCCCCTCGGACAGAGTGAGACCCGGGTCAGGTCTTGTTGCCTCTGACCGTGGTAGTGTGAGCTAGAGAGTGGACACCCACAGCTGGATCAGCAGTGGGAGAAGCCACAGGAGGGTCCAGGAGAGGATGGAGCAGTAGCAGGCCCGGCCACTACTTCCACCAATGAAGTGTGTGTGAGTTACAAGACGGCTGTTGCTTCACTTCCATCCTCCAAGTCTCCCACCAGAATCTCTCTCATGGGCCACCTTCACGGGAAATATACACAGAAGGGAATTCCAGGACAGGTTGTTCAGCTCAGCCAAGTTGACACATTACAAGGCCACCACACCTACATTGAACCAGTCACCAAGTCCTGATCATTCAGCCCCTTCATCTCCCCATTTCATTCACTTCCCTTACCTCCACTGCCACCACAGATTACCTAAGTTATTCCAATGGCCGTCTAACTCACCTCCCTGCCTCACCTCTAACTGATACAAAAGCTAGTTGATCATTAAAAATAAAATCAGATTCCCTGATTAAAAGCCCTCACTGGCCCTTAGAATAAAATGCCAAGTCAATAGCATGACCCAAACACCCCCAGTGGGTTGACTACTGCCCTCTCTCCCACCTCGTCACCTGCCACTCACCTTTGGACACTCTAAGCTCCACAGAGCTTATTTTTTTTATATGAATGTACCAAGCTTTCTCTTACCTTAATGGTTTTACATGTGCTGCTTCTTTTCTGCTGACATCTTTCTTTGTTTTTTCCCCTTTTCTTCTTTTGTCAAAACTTTTCTGTGGAGCCCTGCTCCTCACTTAGGTCTCATGTGAATATCTGTAGGTTACAACAGCCTTCTCCAATTGTGCTGTTGCCTCCCACATACCCTCTTTTGCCCGTAACATAACACCCACCACATTGTGTTATTGAATGCCAATTGTCCCTGCCACACTGTAGCTCTGGGAAAGCAAGGACTGTGCCTGTCTTGTTCATAGTTGCATCCTCAAAGCCTCGTGCATGTAAGTGTCCAGTAAGTATTTGCTCAATAAGGGAAGGAATTAAGGCTACTAGGAATTACTAAACAAAGCCCTGCCTTCCCATTCCAGCTGGAAGCGTATCAGAGGCTGGAGCTGGAGGCAATATCAGACTAACTACAAGTTTTTGAAAGTTTACGATGTACATGATGATTGCTTTCATGGGAGTTTGTAGAAGGCACTGCCTGGGAAACAGTGTTACTGGGGGAAAGGTGTTACCGAGGGAAGAGTGTGTGAGCTGAAACTTGAAAAATGAATTTATCAGGGGGACAAGAGGGTGGATTGAGGCCGAAGGAAGGGTGCGTAGAGTCAGGCATGTGAGAGAGCACAGCATAGGCTAGAGTTCACCTGGGCTGGAGTGTAGGCAGAAGCCTTGGGCCAGGGAGAAAAGCCAGGGCCAGATGGTATGACATGCTCAGGACTCGAGATATTTGTCCTGTAAGGGAGGAGAAGTTTTAAGGAATTGTAAGGCAGGAACGAACCCCATGTTTGTATTTTGGAGACTCATTTACAGCCACATAGGAGATGAATTGGAAGAGGTGAGCAATGTTGGGCTCCTTAGAGGTTTAAGCAATAGAAACTTGCTTAATTCATGGGGGATGATTGAAAGGATTCATGAGGAGAGTAGGGAAGACATCTAACCATGTCTATCACTGCACAGCTAGACCTCATAAAAACAGGAATGACGTTGTTCCCGTTTTTCTTATTTAGACAGCTCTGGCCCCTGTGCTGTCCTATTGCCCATTCAGCTTTGGGCAGTCCCTGGTGCCTCCTCATGCAGAGATGCAACTGCTTTTTGCAGCTTCTTTTTGTGTCTTAGCTCTCCAAGAGGGAGGATTTGGTTGGCAGCCACTTTTAATCCAGTGCAGAGCACCCCCACTGTATTAGTCTATTCTCATGTTGCTAATAAAGACATACCCAAGACTGGGTAATTTATAAAGGAAAGAGGTTTAATTGACTCACAGTTCCACATGGCTGGAGGCCTCACAATCATGGCTGAAGGAGAATGAGGTACAAGGTCACGTCTTACATGGCAGCAGGCAACAGAGCTTGTGTAGGGGAACTCCCCTTTATAAAACCATCAGATCTCGTGAGACGTATTCACTATCATGAGAACAGCACAGGAAAGACCCACCCCCATGATTCAATTACCTCCCGCTAGGCCCCTCCCACAACACATAGGAATTATGGGAGCTACAATTCAAGATGAGATTTGGGTGGGGACACAGCCAAATCACTTCACCCACCCCTACCCACTTTTGGGCAGGTCTCTGACGCTGGATCTCCTCCTAGGTCTGTGATCCATCAGCTACCACTGGGGCAGATTCTTTCATCAGCTGTGGCCAGGTGTGGGGCTTGTGGTAACATACAACAATTTGGCTTAAGAATGCCCTAGGAGGAGGGTAGTGGGTATGGCAGGCACTTTGAAGCTTCCCAAAGACAGTGGAGCTGAAAGACCCTCCACCTGGCCTATGTGGCTCAGGGGCTTAGGCCAGGGGCAGGAGACTAATTGGAAGACTTTTGCACCAGTGAGAGGTGGCAAGGACCAGAACTGACAGCAGCAATGTGTGTGAAGAAGAAGGGGTGAATTAAAGCATATATTGAAAAGGTAGAATTGGCAAAACTGAGGGACTTGATTGATTGGCTTTGGGACCTGAGAAAGGATGACTCCTAGGTAGGAACAGGCTGATGTGATCTAGTAATATTTAGTGAGTTAGGAAGCATTGGGAAATAAGCAATAATTTATTACGGGAGAAGAGGATGTTTCACTTCAGATATGTTTGTTTTCTGGTATCTATAGAACCCCCAGGTTGATCAGCCTAATAGGCAGTTGATTAACGGGCCTGGAGGAGATCTGGGTTGGCTGTCCAGTCCTCAGCATTCAGGAGAAAGTTCAAAGCAAGAGAATGGATGGATCCCCTAAAGAGAATATGCAGGAAAAAAAAAAACAAAAACAATCCAGGGAGCAAGCCACAGTGGGCAATCCAATGGAGACTGAGATGAAGTAACCAGGCAGTTATACCTGAGAAAAATATGAAACAGTTATAACACTAATATTTTAGACATTGATGAGGCAATTTATCAATTAGTCTCTGAATGTATTTAAAAATTAGCACATTTGTGTCTTGGATTTTCCTCTGCTGCTTCGTGTGATGTTTGGACATATGTCTGAAAACTTCTAACTGTGTCAGATATTTGCATCACCTTGATCTTCCCTTTAGTCTCTAAAAGATGTAATGTGCAAGTGTGGCAAATGGAAACAGAACAAAAGATTAAATTTAAGGAATTTTTATCTGTTCATTTTTTCCCACATATACCATCATTTGCTATACAATCAAGGCCTTAAATTTACTACCCTTTATAAAGTGGTACCTAATTAGATCTACGCTTACCACTTCCATGTCAAAGAATGTCCCATATTTTCAGATGAGCAATATCTTTCTTAAGGTAAATCAGGTGAAGTACTCTAATATAATTCAGTAATGTCTTTTGTTTTCATGTCCAATATACTTCTTGATGTTTTTAGCGGCTTACGGAGCTACAGCAAAAGACTCCCAGACTGCTGTTTTTCAAATTGCAAATTGTGACTAATTAGTGGGCTGTAAAATCAACTTAGTTGGCCATATCAGTCTTTAAAACAAATTAAATGAAATAGAAGAGAAAATAATGCAGTGTATCACGTATAGAAAGAGGAAGTTTGCTTTGTAAAAATTTTGTTTCAGTTGAGTATGGTGTGCCTGTGTTTGTACAAGTACCTGTGCATGAAGATGTGTATATGCATGTATACGAGTACAGGGTCGAGATATTAAATTTATTTCTTACAGTAGATCGTGGTTAAAAAAAAAGTTTCAACTTTGAGAAACACTGGCCTGACCACTTTTGGATTGATACATGCCAACCTAGATCCCATCACACTGTGAAATCTTTTTTTCACCTTGGTAACCCCAGAATTTAGCACAGTGCCTTCCATGGGGTAGACATGCAGCAAATGATGGTCAAGTAAATGATTGAATGAATGTATGAGCCTTAGTATGGTATGGGTTAATTTTCCCTGAACTCATTATCCTACATTTGCTGATGTTCAGGATAGGCTGTAATACGGGGAGAAAATAAGGACAAGAAATCAACTCAGTCCCTCCAGGAGCTTTAAAAAAGGAAACCTGATTTAGACAGAAACAATTATTATGCATTTCAGCCACTCTACTGGGCAGAGAATGCCTAAAACACGAAATGAAATGGCTATGTATAGCACGTTTATAAAGTTCTGAATATTATCACACAGCCACAATCTTGTTCATTCCACTTAGGAAACACATCAGTTGTTTTAAAAAATTCTTTGTTCTGTTGAGAAACAATTTATCATGATTCTTGTGCTTCTGTATAAAATGGCCCAGCCTAGTAAATATCTGATGATGGGTATGAAAAACAAAGATGATATTTTCATACATTTTTTTCTCTTTCCTAAGGAACAAAACTGCAGAGCTTGTATTTCTCAGACACCTAGGTCATGAGACTTTATCCAGTGACACCTTCCCAGTGGGAGCTGTTCTCTCTAAAATGAGCTAAGTTTAGTCGGGTTCTCAGATGGAACTTGAATGCAGAGAAACTCACAGCTAATAGAAATAGAAAACCGCAGATGAATTCCACACCGCTGGCAAAGAGCAACTGAAATCACCAGTGCAACATCCTGAGAAATTGAACTTGCCACCTCCTTACACCTGGGGGAAAATGTCAAATGTCCTCTGTTACAATATCTGAACAGCTTGTGCAATTTTATCAATAGAGAACAGTCTGCAATCGGTTTTTTTCTAGTTTCCTTTCTGTTAGCTATTTAAGTGAATTCATTGTGTGATGGTGAGTAACCAGAATTAAGTGATGAAAGTATCAAACTGTTTTTCATCAAAACTCTCACTGATGGCAGAGACTCTCAAAATTTGAAGTCATCCATAGCTTTACAAATAGCTGCTCACATACTCTAATTGAAAAGTGTTATTTTGTGTTAGAAAAATAGTAAATAATTTTGTTTAAATATGTTTATGTGATCATAGTATTTTCAGGTTGAAAGGACTTCCCAACTACTACCGAATATTAGCCCAACAACAGGTGCTGGCCTCAGAGGAAGTTTTTCAGGTTCACAATAAAACAAGAACTCTAAGAACAATGTAGTCAGTTCTTCAATAAAAACTAAATTATTATACAGATGCTCCTTGACGTATGATGGGGTATACACTGATGATAAACCCATCATAAGTTGAAAATATTGTAAGTTGGAAATGCATTTAATACACCTAGCCTACCAAAGATCATGGCTTAGCTTAGCCTACTTTAAACATGCTCAGAAGACTTACATTAGCATATGGTTGGGCAAAATCATCTAACACAAAGCCTACTTAATGACAATGTTGAGTAACTCATGTGATTTATTGAATACTATACTGACTACGAAAAAAAGAATGGTTGTATGGGTACTCGAAGTATGGTTTCTACCAAACGGCGTATCACTGTCACACCATTGTGAAGTGGAACCATTGTTAAATCAGGGACTATCTGTATTTGGAGGATTGTTGTTTATCCTGTGATTATACCTATTCCACTTTTTCAGTGTTAAAATACCCTCTGCATTTTTTAAAATGAAACGATGGTGATAGCTGATGATTTTTTTTTTAACTTGCGGGAAAAGGTTGACAAGCCTAAAATGGTAACTACTGATCTAGCCCAAACCTTGATCTAGTATTTGAACCCCCTCCTCCATTCTTCTGTGGTAAGTTCATTTAGTCTTTGCCAGAAACAAGGAATGGGCCATCTCCTGAAGAGCATGCCTCTGAAGAGAACACTCTCAGAATGCTCTTTAATGTCTCTTAGAACATTCAAGTACTCAAATGCTCTTCACTGAGGATGTATCTCTCTAGAAATCTCCCTAATGGTCCTATTATAAATTTGGTACCTGAGAGGAGGTAATTAACCAGAAAATATGCAGAACTGTTTCACTTTTTGGTAAGCTTTTTTCAGATATATTCTAGATTATTTTAATGATCCTCTTTACCGTATATGCATTAGAAAGAATATTGTTAAAATGAAAAGATCCTTGTTGAATCAAATTACTTCCTTCCCCTTCTAATGATTTTTCAGTTTTGAACAATTCATCCAGTGGAATGAAATCCCAGCAGGAGAAAATTGAAGTGTATTTTGAATTTATTATAATAGTATTAACTGGTGCTTGGGAAAATAGGTTGACAATAATTTAAAGTGGCCATCCTCTGAACTGTGATCCTTAATCCTGACAGCTTGTACCATTTCATAGCCACTGTGTTAAATTATTATCATAGTTACTAATCCCTTGCTTTGTAGAGTATTTTAGTTTACAAAGCTGGTTCATATTATGGTCTCACTTAATCCTGATAATAATCCTGTGATGTAGTCAGGAGAGGGATTTTACCTTTATTTTATAGGTGGTAAACTAGAGCTCAAAAATAGCCAGTCACTTGCCTGTGCTCCAGCAACGTAGCAGGGCCAGGGTTCAGTCCCAGGTCCCCTGATTCCAAATTCCTAGCTTTCCCACCAAACCTGAAAAACCTCTCTCCAGGTACAAGGATAAATACTTCTCCTCTTATCTTCAGGTTTGCTAATATCTGATGTTAAATCCACGAAAGAGAAGGTACATCAAAGAATACATGATCAATGATAAATCTCTGGTAAACAGACTTTCAGGTCAATTTGTTCTATCTAAATAGAGCCAAGCAAATAATAAGATCAGCCCTCTACTGTTCTGTGTACACTTGAGCCCACAGTAAATATTGTTGACAGGCTGCTGTGACTAAGTTAGCACACAAAACTTGTAACTATAAAGACATGATACTTCTGACTTGGTACAAACCCACAAAAGAATCTCAGTAAAAATTCTGGAGATATATATATATGTTTATACATTTATATTTGCATCTGTGTGTAATCTATCTATCTATCTATCTATCTATCTATCTATCTATCTATCATCTATCTATCTATCTATCTATCTACCTACCTATGTGAATACATGTATATAAGTGGCACATAGAATTTCTCCCAACTTAGATTAGGATTTCGAGTGACCAACCTAGAATCAGCTTTCTCTCATATTTTTTTCTTTCACAAGAGAGATCAGTTCAGAATAGTAATAGCAATTAGTATTCTGTAAGCAGCAACCCATCTTCAGCTGCAGTGGCAGGATCCAAACAGCCTAAGCCAGAATCCATATGACAGGAGCTCAGTTCTTTTTATTTATTTATTCTAAACACATGTGGTCTCTGCAACTCAGTGGCTTGGGATTGTTATTATAAGGGCAGGATGACAATTTCTGCAAAGGAAAATGGTTATTTGCTTAGCTAAAGTTTAAGGCTGCTAAACAGACTACTGTGAAATATAGAATTAGCTTATCCTTTTACCTGCTGGTTATAACAAGTCAGCTATGTTCAACAGTTTCTCAAGGACAAGAGAGAATTTGTGCTGGCTTTCTATCAAGAAGCTAACTCCAAATAGACAAGAGAAACAAAAGCAAGAGCAGGACCAATAGATAAAAGAGCCCTTGTTAGTGGACTAAAGCGGTTGCTACAAATAGGACAGCGGAAGGAGAGTTGGGAGGGGGAAGAGTGAAGCAAGGTCAAAGAAGGATGATATCAATAGAATATCTCCAAATAGCACAGAATGCAGCAAGAAGTAGCAGCAGATGTCAGTCCAGCCCAATGTCAACCCCCGTGGAGCTATGTAGAAAGACTTGGAAAGAAACAGCATCGCTGCAGTTGGTATTAGGAGTAAAGAGACAGCAGATGATACCTTTCTCCCCATGAATTGAAAGCCATGACTTGCCACTGGCCACAGCCTCATCTCCTTTCTGCCTGGCCCCTTTCAAGCTTTTAGGGTATTTTTTTCTTTATTTCAGATCTTTACTCCCTTCCTTTCCTTTTGATTTCTTTTCTTATTCCAGACTCTCTGGCTGCCAATTCTGATTCCGATCCTCACCCCACTGGCTGTTTCTTGCCTATGCCACCAGGTACCCTGGTTCCAGATGCTTACTCTGGCCTCAGCAACATTCCAGGACTGATGATACATATCCAAGAGAATATATTTACTGCGGCACTCAAAAAATTCCCATCGTGATTTTAGACATTACTGGCATGGATTGACTTTCATAACTGTGGAGAAAAGCCAAAAATGTATAAAGGAAGTCTGTTTTCAGAGTTCATATCCCTTAATTTTAGTGAATGGATGTGGGTGTGTTGAAAACTTAGTTTCTTAAGAACTGCCTAAATTTCATAATTATTTCATTTTCATCCGCTCACAGATGGCTTTGCCCTGGGTGTAAAAATTGAAGAGCCAATATAAAATGATGCTACCTTTACTCTGGCAGTTAAATTTTAAATTTCAAACATTGGTTTTCAGAACCTTGGAGAGCATCAAGCACAGCCCTCCATTTCCCTCACAGGAGCCAGCTCAAGTGTAGGCTGATTTCTCCTGTAAAAATGTGAAATAAGAAATAATGAGATAAGTTGACAGTGAAGCTAGTAAATTCTGTAACAGAAATGCTTTCCGCAATGACCTATTTTTATAGTTTAAGTTTCCGTTGTATAGTGTTGTGTAGCGCTTAAGAGGATGGATGTGGAGCCAATGAGATATGACTCAAAGCCAGATTCTGCCAATTCCTAGTTATATAACGTTGGGCAAGCTGATCTCCCCGAGCCTTAGCTCTTCTAGTCTGTAAAATGGAGCTGCAAAGAGTAGCTACTTCGGCCGGGTGCGGTGGCTCATGCCTATAATCCCAGCACTTTGGGAGGCCCAGGCGGGTGGATCACGAGGTCAGGAGATGGAGACCATCCTGGCAAACATGGTGAAACCCCGTCTCTACTAAAAATACAAAAAATTAGCCGGGCGTGGTGGAGGGCGCCTGTAGTCCCAGCTACTCGGGAGGCTGAGGCAGGAGAATGGCGTGAACCCGGGAAGCGGAGCTTGCAGTGAGCGGAGATCGCGCCACTTCACTCCAGCCTGGGCGACTGAGCGAGACTCTCTCAGAAAAAAAAAAAAAAAAAAAGAGTAGCTACTTCACAGTGTTGAAGTTCTGATTACATGAGATAATGCCTGGAAAACCTTTTGTACCTAGGTGGCACTCACTGCTTTCTCCATGCTTTCAAATGAGTTGTTTCTGGTCTGCTTGGCAACAGCTGTAGTCACCAGTACTGCGGGTTTGGGGCTCTTCAGATTTGCCTTCTTGCTGTGGGTGAGGATCTGGACCGCTGGTAGAGATGACATACCCAGGATGTAAGGAAGCAGACCAGTGCTAGCCTTGGCAGTTTCCACGTGTGCTGGAGGAGGGGCTCCAGGCTAACTCGTCCACTACCTGTAACTTTCACTTGCATGCGCTTTCTGGTCTGCCCATGTCAATCGTGTTATTAGCTATTGATAGTGTTTTCCTGCTTTTCCCTGTGTCCCTCCCCGAGACAACTGGACCATACATTCATTTTTTCGTTTCACATATATTAGTTAAACAACTACTTAGCGGTAGGTATTACGCTAAATGCTTAAAACCCACTTATGCCGGAGGTTGCAAAATTTTTTTGTGAAAAATCAGACCTTGGCGATGACCTTGAGCAGTAGGATATAAATAACTCCCACAAGCTTAAAGTTCCAATAATGGAATACTAGGCATAAATGGCTTAAGATATGGTGATGAACAATATCTGGCCTTTTTCTTCTTAGGAGGAGATTTCTCACCATGGGAATCTTGATGCAAGTTAGATCCCACCCTCACTATTGAGAAGCTAAAAGTGTAAGACTACTCATTTCTCAGTCTTCCTTGCTGCTGGTGTCTGGCCCATGACCTAGACTCAGCCAAATGGACTCACCTGCTCCAGATTTCACATTAGGATCTGGTGTTACAAAAATGCAGGTAGAGTGAAAGATTCTTTCTGGTGGCAGCAGTGGTAGCTGTAAAACCCGATTTCCAAGGTATCAAAGAGCAGTGGTGTTGGCATCAATGTCCAGTGCCCAGTGCTAGCATTGTTGGGGCTGCAGGTCGCTGCCACTCATGTCTAATGTAACTGCACAGTGGAATCAGCCAGGCTGGTTTAGTAGCATGATTGGGCCTGTGGTTCTTCCTGCATAGCTTCCCTTTGTTCCTGTCCCTTTTTTTTTTTTTTTTTTTTTTCTGATGGAGCCTCTCTCTGTTGCCCAGGCTGGAGTGCAGTGGCGTGATCTCGGCTCACTGCAACTCCGCCTCTGGGGTTCAAGCAATTCTCCTGCCTTAGCCCCCCAAGTAGCTGGGACTACAGGTGCCCACCACCATGCCCAGCTAATTTTTGTATTTTTAGTAGAGATGGGGTTTCACCATATTGGCCAGGCTGGTCTTGAACTCCTGACCTTGTGATCCGCCCGCCTCAGCCTCCCAAAGTGTTGGGATGACAGGCGTGAGCCACCTTGCTCGGCCGTTCCTGTCCATTTTCTCATGGCTGTTTTTGTAGCCCTCCTGGAAATTCCATATCATCTTTTAAATAATTTTTTCTTTTCGCGAAAACCAGCTAGTCAGTTTCTATTTTTGCCGCTAAGAACCTTGACTGCTTCACCAGAAATTCAAATCCCAGATCCATCCTTGAAAAACCTTGGGCAAGTGACTTATTCTTTACATGCCTCAGGCTTCTTATCTGTCAAATGGACACTATGGCAGGGGAAAGAGTGTACACGAAGTGTTTTCATATCATATCTGGGACATAGTAAGTGCACAATCTATGTTTGCTCTTATTGACATGTTTAAAAAATAATGAGGACAGGAAAATTCAGAAAGATGGCAAAACTTGTGAGCAAATCTCTTGACTGTAACATATGCTACTCAAACAGGGAAGAAAATGACCAACTTTATTTTAAATTATTTCAGTAATTGAGAATATGAGTGCTCTATAAGGTGGCAGGCTTATAGTGCTTTAGGCTGTATAATTTCTTTCTCTCTTCATGGCATTAAATGAGGTTTCCAGATATCTGTTTTTTTAAAATCTCAAATACAGACTAGATAATAATGACTGATTGAATTTTTAAATTACAACTCGATATTTACGAATACATATATACAGATGTAGAAGGCTGAGGTATGAGGACCCTCAAAAATTCACCTATTACAACCTCCTGTGACTAGCTAGTTCCTAAACATTCAGAATTTAAATTTGCCTCTCCTGTTTGCAAATGTCTCCATTTATGATTCTCACATTTCCTGAAAAGAATTGAGTGCTCACCATTGTTCCAGGGGTGGCTGTGGTAGCCTCTCGTTATTCTTGTGCCTTTCTGTTCAGGAACTTGTGTCTTATATGCAAGCTCAATCTTTTTATAGTTAACAAAACTAAATGTGCTTTGTACTGTTTATTGTCAAAATCAGCTTAAACAAATAGATGTTAGTCTTTTGGGATATTTTGTTATGGAGAACTATGACAGACATAGAGATAGAATTAATATAATAATCTTTCACGTGAAGCTAACATCATTTTCTCTTTTTCTTTTCTTTCTTTCTTTCTTTCTTTCTTTCTTTCTTTCTTTCTTTCTTTTCTTTCTTTCTTTCTTTCTTTCTTTCTTTCTTTCTTTCTTTCTTTCTTTCCTTCTTTTCTTTTCTTTTCTTTCTTTCTTGGCAGGGTCTCACTCTGTCACCCAGACTGGAGTACAGTGGTGTGAGGTGTGAACACAGCTTACTGCAGCCTCAACCTCCTGGGCTCAAGTGATTCTCCTACTTCAGCCTCCTGAGTGGTTGGCACTACAGGCACATACCACCACACATGGCTAATTTTTGTATTTTTTGTAGAGACAGGCTTTCACCATGTTGCCCAGGCTGGTCTCAAACTCCTGGGCTCAAGCAATGTGCCCACCTCAGCCTCCCAAAGTGCTGGGATTACAGGTGTGAGCCACTGCACCTGGCCAGCATCTTTTAATACTTAAAAAAAATCCAAACTTTAGTCCAAATTATTGCTTCATGGTTTGATATGGCTGTTATTTTTTTCTATATTACTTAATTCTATAATCTGTATACCAGTAGTAAGTTGTGCAAACCTTCTGGAAGTTGTATAAGTACCTTGACTTAAGGGAAAATAACTAGAGTGTTAGCCTAGAAGCATCCAAAGGGATACCAGTTTTATTGGGTACCCAATAGTCTTCCCTCAAATTAACCTCTTTTCTATAACTAGCCACCAAACCAAAAGAGCTTGATGGGCAAAAGCCCTAATATGGACAAACAAAACTGGAGCATGAAGATTTAAACAGCTGCAGGAACGGGTTGATTGGAATGAAAGTCCTAGCTTATTGCCCATGTGAAGATCCTTCCTTCCTTCCCTCCTTCCTTCCTTCCTTCCTTCCTTCCTTCCTTCCTTCCTTCCTTTCTCTCTTTCTTTCTTTCTTTCTTTCTTTCTTTTTCTTTCTTTCTTTCTTTCTTTCCTTCCTTCTTTTCTTTCTTTCTCTCACTCTGTTGCCCTGTTGCCCAGGCTGGAGTGTAGTCACGATCTTGGCTCACTGCAACCTCCGCCTCCCACGTGCAAACAATTCTCATGCCTCAGCCTCCCAAGTAGCTGCGATTACAGGCATGCACTACCACACTCTGCTGGTTTATTAAAATATATTTTAAGTACAGATGGGGTTTTGCCATGTTGGCCAGGCTCGTCTTGAACTCCTGGACTCAAGTGATCTGCCTGCCTTGGCCTCCCAAAGTGCTGGGATTACAGGCGTGAGCCACCATACCTAGCCCCATGTGAAGGTGCTTCTAATCAGAAAAAGAATGTATTTTTTAGGGCAGGGAGATGGAATGTGGGACAGTATTTGCAACAGAACCAAACATTGAGGAATAGAATGGCAAATGATTTTTTCTTTTTAATTAAAATGAGAGACTTCAGGATAGATTCACATAAACAATGAAGGGTTGCTAAGTAATAAGTTCTTGGGGAAAAAGGTTTCCCTTTAATTAAGAAACTGGTTTCAAGGGCTTCGATCAATAAGAGATTCCCTTCTAACATCAGCAGCTGTTTGGGGTTCTTTAACAAAATCCTGTTAGCCAGGAAAAAAAGGCGACTATGGGTCAAAATTGTGTAGGAATAACTGTGGTGGCACTTACAATTTTTATCTTTGAGCACCCTCAAATTACTAGGTTCTTCGCTGAATAGAATGCCTTAGTGATTCACATTTTGTAGTTAGGGTTAGACTATAACTTGACTTCTTACCTGTATTTATTTGAAGTTGTAATAACTTTTATTAAAGTTACTAATGGAAATCACCTATAATGAAGGACTTGTATCTGCATATTAACTCCAGCAATTTGTTCTCATAATCCTGAAATTCTAAAAAAAAAAAAAAAAAAAAAAAAGAGAGAGAGAGTCTTTCAAAGGGTAAAGCCACCAGTTTGAAATCGTCGCTTTTCCTGTTTCATGAACATTTTCATGTCACTTGACCAACTGGAGAAGAATGCAGCTACACTTTCATTTTCCACTTCTAATAAATGTTTAGATCCTAATTTTCCTTTTTATGTTATCTCTTGATCTCTTTATTCTTTTTGAGACTTATTTTATTCAGGTGCTTTTACTCGAAAGCTCATTTCTTCTTTTATTCCTGTTATTTGACATTTTTTAGAAGTATGGTTTGAAAATACCCTCTTCCTTTAGACAAATTACTTTTTTTAAACATAAATCTTCTTCAGGGTGGTGATGTGTCAAAATAGTGTGCAGGAGGTAAAAGCTCTGAGGCTGTTATTTATCAATAGGAACTGCGTGTCGATTTTTATAGAAAGATTTGAAAATTACCCATAAAGAACAGTGGGAGTCTAAGCTGAATACAGATATGAATCCAAGTCAGCATGATTGCTGGGGAAAGGATTCGTTCAAATGCAATGCTAGCAAGAAACAAAGAAATTTGTTATGGCCTTAAAAAAATTCTTGGTAAATTCTCCTTGTTTGCAACTGCCTATTCTGTAAAGTGTGTGGAGTTTTTTTTGTTTGTTTGTTTGTTTTGTTTTTTTTTGGTTTGGTTTTTTTTTTTTTGAGACGGAGTCTCGCTCTGTCGCCCAGGCTGCAGTGCAGTGGCCCGATCTCGGCTCACTGCAAGCTCCGCCTCTCGGGTTCACGCCATTCTCCTGCCTCAGCCTCCCGAGTAGCTGGGACTACAGGCGCCCGCCACCATGCCTGGCTAATTTTTGTAATTTTAGTAGAGACGGGGTTTCACTGTGTTAACCAGGATGGTCTCGATCTCCTGACCTGTTGATCCACCCGCCTCGGCCTCCCAAAGTGCTGGGATTACAGGCGTGAGCCACTGCGCCCAGCTGTGTATGGATTTTTTTTTTTAAATCTTCATTATTTCTGAAATTAAATACCATAAAATAAGACAAAATAGGAGCTCTGTAAGGTTCCTTGCAACTGTAAGTGCTTGCTTCTTTTTAGGGGATTCGCTATAGTGGTAAATGAAAATGATACTGTACAGAGAGTTTGCTATGTGTACCCTGTTATCTCACCCAGCATTCACAACCTGTAAGGTATGTATTTTTACCCTTGTGTACAGCTTAGGACATTGAGGCTCAGAGGCATTGAATAAATTGCTAACATACTATGGTGGGAAGGAAAGGAACAGGGACTTGAACCCAGGCAGGATCTCCTCCCTCCAAATTTGTATTCTTTCTGATCTGCATTTATTTTAGCAAATTGACCCTGCATTCCCTAAAGGCATTTCTATTTGTGCATGCCGTATTCTGTTTTGTGACTTCAATTGATTTCCAGTTTTGTGTTTGTGTCACTAAGAGGACGCATTTGTCAGACCAAGCATGGATCATCTCCATGGTGGTGGTGGCATCATGAGAAAGTGAGGACTCTGTTGGGGGAGAACTGACTGAGCACTCCCCATGAGGTGGGACAGTTTGAGGGATTAACTTGCATTGTTTTGATTAATCTTCAAAAGAACTGCATATTAAGTGGCTGGTTAAGCATTTATTCATTTAACACATTGTTAATGGTCTCTTATGTAATCAACGAATGAGACAGACAAGATTCTTGCCTTCATGGAGCTCACATTCTAGCAGGGAGAAACAGACAGGAAACAAGCAAGCAACTTGTGTGGAAATACAGTGACAGGTTGGAAAATATGCTGTCGATGACGTTTGAGCTGAGGCCCAGAGGATAAGGAAGTGAAAGACACATGAGAATCTGCAGAGGCAAAAGGAAGCAAGAGGGAGTGCAATGACCCCAAGGGGACAGCAGGCCTGGAGGGTTCGGGGACAGAAAGGAGTTCTGCGAGGCTGAGTGGAGTGATCAGGGCCGCAGGTGGTTCCAAGGGGGTGGACTAAGAAGTTGGCAGCCATAACTTACAGAACTTGCTAATGGGGGATGAGAGAAAGGGAGGAAGGAATGAAGAATGACTCCTAGGTTTGGGTGTAAGCCACTGAATGGATGATGGAACCTCTATACTGAGATATGGGCAGCAGGTTTGGGGAGGAGAATCAAGAGCTGTTTTAGACGGATTAACTTTGAGATATTTATTAGACAGTCAACTAGAGATGATAGGAGAGAGTTGGCTTTATGAATCTAGAGATTGGGGAGGGGGTTAATAGTCAAAATAGCCCCCCCAAAAGACAACCATATATAGTAATGTGTATGGGTCTAATAACTACTATAATTTTGAAATTGTGATGAGCATTGTGATGTACTTGCTCTTTGGAGATATCCATAAAACTATAGTGCAATATCAAAACATCTGTGATTTCTATTGCTCAGA